>NC_000009.12:32434242-32585757 GCF_000001405.40 Homo sapiens
TTCCAGTTGTCCTTAGCATCTGAGGAGTTCTAGGGATGTGAAGAGAGAGAATGTCATTTGCAGCTGCGTTACTGTTGCTTTTGAGGGGATATTGCCAGTATTTTACCTTTTCTTCAAGAGTAAGATATGAATGTTTTGAGTAAATTCACCTTACTTTTCTTGGCCTCTTTGATAAAAACTAGAACACTAGAATTTTCTGTGCATTGGTGTGGAACTGTCCTCTGATTCAGGTCCATGGGCCACCATCGTAGAGACTGATCTGGTAACTTGTTTGGGAAAACCTGGGCCAATGCTGACTTTTTGTATTCTTTGCTAGACTTTGGATCTTCAGCCCCCTAAATCTATAGTGGATGCCTATGTGCTGCTAAATTTGGGAGATTCGGTAACAACTGACCACATCTCCCCAGCTGGAAATATTGCAAGAAACAGTCCTGCTGCTCGCTACTTAACTAACAGAGGGTAAGTATGAATGAGGCAGGAAGGACTAAAGGCAAAAATGGAGGAATGGAGTTAATGAGGCCAGCATTTCTCTTTTCACCTGGCCCTTTGGAATGAGACTCTTTGGTTGTGCACTGAGGCTTAACCCTGGGGTAAAAACCAATTGCATTTTCTGTTTGCTGCTTAACAGCTTCCATGGGAGAAACGATCAACATGTGAATCCTAACAAGGGGAAGGGGAGAGGGACCTTCATTTGAGCAAGTGTATATATTAGGCCCAACTGTCATCCCTGCCCCCGGCTTGGCTGATCTTTAAAGTACAAGGCTCTGCTCTTAACCTGGGGCAGAGGCAGAACCTGACACGCATTGCCAGGTCCTGGTTGAGAAACCTAACGTTTACAGAGCACTGCTTGGAGGATTTGCAGCTTACTCATCTGTTTATCAGTTCTTCAGTAGTGTGCTGATATTCATAGGTATGCCAGTATTATCAACTACTGTCTCATATATTAATCGAGGTCAGTGGTTCCCCAATCTGAGTTTCCACGAGAATCACGTGAGGACATAAAAATTCCTGGTTTCTATCCCCATCTGCTGAATCAGTTCTTTCAGTGATTCCCCAGAGCGAATTTGAGGAACAGAATCCAAATGCCTTTTTTCTATTGATTGTTGAGCCCTTTTGAGGCATGAACACGTCAGAGAATTGAATGAAAGCAAATCTAATGCCTTCCCAGAAAAATGCACATACCCACAACATTTTGGATAGTTTCAGGGATTCCAAGACATACTCACCTGCTCCTGTAACCCATTAAACTCTCTCAGTCCTTAAATTCTATCTAACCATTGATTAAATAATATTAACACACCCACCCCCTAGTATTTTAAGGAACAGCTCAGTGAACTGGTCACGGTGTTAATTGTAAGGTATGTTTCCTGACACTGCAAAGTTTCCTTTCACTGAGGCCCCACAGACAAGATTTCCTCTGGTTTGGGGACCAGAAATAGCTGTTCTGCCTCTTTAGCACTGCCTCGATTTTTCTCTCATGAAAGTTGTAAGTTATGTTGCCAGCTGTGTGTCTTTCCTTTGCATTGAGTTCCTGATAATTCAGGGACAAATTTGAAACTATTTCTGGTTACTTTGTGGAACGTATTTTGTGTTTCCCCCTGTTTGTGGCTCCATCTGATTTGCCTACCCTAATTCTTCCCTTTGCTTCCATTTTCTCACTTATTTTTAATTTAGCTCTTTATCTTATATGAAGCTTTATAGGCTACCCTACTAACAAATAAAACATTCTTTTTTAGACTTCCTTCTTATTTTTCTAACCAGATTTGAAAGACAATTAACCCAGGAGAATACTGACTTATGCCTCTCACCACCCCTTCTCACCTCTCTCTCTTCTCCGTTGAAGCTTTGGGGACAGCTTTTCTGCCATGGAGAACAATGCTTAGGAGACTTAGAGAAATAGCCAGGTCTATGTTTTGTTTTGTTTTGTTTTTTTCTTTTCTTGGTGTAAGCTAAGGTTAATCTTTGCTTGCTTCACTAAGCCAGCTCCTTTCTTGCTTGCCTTCTTAGCCTAACTCCACGAGAATTCAACTCCTATGGCTCCCGCCGAGGTAATGACGCCGTCATGGCACGGGGAACATTTGCCAACATTCGCTTGTTAAACAGATTTTTGAACAAGCAGGCACCACAGACTATCCATCTGCCTTCTGGGGAAATCGTGAGTATTGTCTTCTGCTTCCTGCAGACACTAGCATTTGTCAGCCTTGGTGGAGGTTGGATATTTACAGTTACTCGCCTTTTGGTTTTAGTTTTTCTTCACAGCTCCATCCTACCCTAACTACAGTCCTCCTTGCCAGGTGTCCATATGCATAGAATGTATCATTGACAAATTCAAACCTTTTCTTCTTGCTTAGAGATTCTAGACCGTGGTTTCACTGAGTCTCTTTTCTTAGGAATTGAGCTTTGAGTGACATTTCATTTAAAGTATTCGAAGGGGAAATACCAGGTTAAATTAAAGGATATTTATCAAGAAGTGCTATTGTATGACTTTATTGGCATGTAATTTAATTCATCTAATCCACATGAAAAGAAGGAGTAGAGAGGTGCTTGGAGGCATGTTTTGGTTCTAATGGGAGCACTGTGGTCAGTATGTTGCAGCAGGGACTGTTTGTTCCCAGCTCCACGTTATACTAGCTGTGGAGCCTTAAAGTTATTTCCATCTCTGAGCCTTGCTTTTCTCACCTGTGAAGTAAAAATACTACTTACCTTGGAAGAACGCTCTGAGGCTTAAAATGAAATGGAATGAAATATAAAACCTAGCATAGAGTCTGGTACATGTCATAGGTCCTTAGTGTCACTTCCCTTCCCAGTGAGTGCTGTGAAATTGCCTGTAAACTGTTTAACTTACTTGAGAAATAACCCTGCCGACTTATTTTAAAATAATAATCGCTAATATGTCTATGGCACTTAACTACATTCCAGGTGTTCTCCTAAGCTCTTGGCATATATTGATTTATGTAATGCTCATAACAACCCCTTGAGGTAGGTACCATGATTATCTGTGCTTTAAATTGAGAAGTGAAGCATAAAGAGGTCATATTACTCCTTTAGGTCACACAGTGGAAAAGCTGAAATTAAAACCCAGAAAGTCTGGCTCTGAAGTCAGTGCCCTTTACCACCACACATACTGCCTCACTCGTAACTGATTATATTTTTGTAACACAAACTCGTTCTTTAGAAATAACCAGTACCTAGCCCAGCAGACGCCTGTTCAATGGATAGCAGAGGTTACAGAATATTAAATGTAAAAAGATACATGTCGAATGATGGAATACCTTAGAGACCAAGGGGAAAGACTTGTAGTTATAGACATTGGGGGACCCCTAATAAACATCACAGTGTACCACACGCATTTACAAGCCCTGCATGACATAGAACTTCTAGTCAGATGTCTAGAACCTCATCTTAAATGAGACAGAATCAAGGATGAACAGACATTTGAGTCAAGACTTGAACAGGGTGATGGGGAGTGCAAAAAGTAAAAGAAAAAAATTATATACTTAGAGAAGAGTTCATTTTCTGTTGCTATGAAATAACAATCAGAAGACAAGAAAGAATGTTTTAAATTTAAAAAGAAAATTCAAAGGAGAAGGTGATTAGTTGAGAACATTTCCTAGAATATGTAACAGAAAGATAAGAGAAAAAAATGTAAGAACTGAACTCAGGAGGCCCTAACAACCTGCCTAAATAGAAGTGTTAAAAAGAGAACAGAAAAAATGCAAGAGAGGAAATTATTTCAAAACAAAACAAAAAACTACAAGCAAAATTTCTCTGAGAATCCAGATTGAAAAGGCCCACTGAAGGCCCATCTAAATAATTTTAAAACACTCCAAGTTATATCACTGTGAAATTAAGAGCAACAAAAGGAGAAATCTCAACATTTCCAGAGAAAAACAGCTCACATGAAACAACAGGAAATAAGACATGTTCCAGACTTCTTGATGCTAGAAACTTAGACTGAGGAAAATGATTTGCATCCTAAAATCTACACCCATCAGACCATCAGTCAAGTGCACTTAAAGTAATGACACATTCAGATATTCAAAAGCTTAAAAAAGCCCTCAATACCTTCCTTAGGAAGCTACTTGGCAATGTGTTCCACCAAAATGAGGGAGTAAATCAAAAGGGAAGACATAGGATCCAGATGAAGGGAATCCCCAGGATGCTAGTGAAGGAAGAGTCCTCTGTAACAGGAATGCACCAAGCCCAGAGAGCAAGCAGTCAGCCCAAGTTGGAACGGGACTGAGAGCTCCAGGAATGATAGCTCCATGACAGAGATTTTAAAATGGTAAATTGCCTGATGTGTCTGAATATCTTTAAAGGTGATTTGTACTGTAGGGTTTAATTAATGGGTAAGGACATAGAAACAGGAAAAACATAGAAAAAATGAAAATTAGTAATTTTCAAAAAAATTCATTCAAAACAAATGAAAATTACTGACTCCAGTGAAACATGTCTTAAATCACCAAGAAAAGGAAATCACAGCACATTACCTGGCTCAGCTGTAAATAGTATTTATGTAGTCATAATCATGCAAACACCAAATGCTGACTTACCAAAATAACTATATTGGGAGGTTGGGAAGAAGGGAGATGTGTGGAAGAGGAGAGATTGTTAAGAGAAGTAAATCCTCAAAGTAGAATATTGACAGATAATTTTAAAAAGTGGAGAAATCAAGAACTAGTAGTTTAAACATAATACCTAGAGATACACAGGCACAGTAACAGAAGAAATAGCTAAATGCTATGTTCTCTTTAGAAGAGCGTAAGAGTGCAGGGAGCTGTTGCTTTCTAAGCTGTCAGTGGCTCTCAGCATGGCGTGTTTAATAGAAAAGTCAGGAGACGTGAGTTCTAGACCTGCTTAGTCCCTCTGATCTTGGGTAACATGACGTGCTTTGCCATGAGATTGTCAACTTTGCAGTACTTTTTAAAGCACACACTCTCACATTGTTAATACCCAAAGCTACAGTCTCTGAAAATATCAGATAAGTTGTTTCTTTCTGGTCTTTGAAAGGATCCAGACAATTCAGTTAGAAGAAGGTTTTCACTGTTTCTATGACAGTTTCTATATTTACGAGTTCTGTCTAGCTGAAGACATACAGAATCCTATCCGGGTTTAGGTAATGCATGCGAAATTAACCACAGGTTCCATCAGTACACCAAAATACAAATTTGTGAAAGTCTGTTTGAGAGTTTTCTTTAGCTCCTGTCTCTCTTTTGAGGAATTTTATCTTCTGACTTACATAGCCTGGAAAAATAATGGTACTGCTCAACCACCAGAGATGATATCATGTCTTTGTAAAGTCTCAGTTCAGTGAGATATTCAGATTCCCTGTGAGAAACAAATCTGTTTGTATAAGATGTTTCTCATGTACTAAAATATTAATCTTTTTCTACCTTTTATTGGGCTTCCATTTGCATTTCTAGCATCTCTTCCCTTGACCTCCATGAAGAAAGGGGACTGATAAAAGTTTGCACTTTATATAATTTCAGAACATGTTACCTTCTTTGTGTTTTGCTAATTTTACAACTGACATCACCGAGTTTCTGATATTGAGCCAAAATGTTTAGGTCACATTCTGTTTTTTGAGTTTTAAAATAATTTAGTCAATGGAAAAGAAAAAATCTGATCTAGTTTCCTTTTCTCCCCTGATGCCTTAGGATTCTAATGTTTTTATAAAACCAACAACAATTAGGCATTTCTGTCAAAAGAATATAAAATGGTTTTTAAGAATACAAAATTTAAGGCCGGATGCAGTGGCTTACGCCTGTAATCCCAGCACTTTGGGAGGCCGAGGTGGGAGGATCACTTGAGGTCAGGAGTTCAATACCAGTTTGGCCAACATGGTGAAACCCCATCTCTACTAAAAATACAAAAATTAGCTGGGTATGGTGGTGTGCGCCTGTAATCCCAGCTACTTGGGAGACTGGAGCAGGAGAATCAATTGAAACCCGGGAGGTGGAGGTTGCAGTGAGCTGAGATCGTGCCACTGCACTCCAGCCTAGACAATAGAGTGAAACTCTATCTCAAAAAAAAAAAAAAGAATACAAAATTTAATTTGGTAGAAGTAAAAAGATCAAGATAATTGGGAATTTGTAGACAAGATGATTGGACGGATTTGGCCATCTGCAAACCCATCCAGCCCCGCCCTCACCAGGGCTCAGGGGACCTGTGTCCATTCTTTGCCTCTCCTGCATCTGTAAAACTTCCTTTTCTCTTCCTCAGCTTGATGTGTTTGATGCTGCTGAGCGGTACCAGCAGGCAGGCCTTCCCCTGATCGTTCTGGCTGGCAAAGAGTACGGTGCAGGCAGCTCCCGAGACTGGGCAGCTAAGGGCCCTTTCCTGCTGGTGAGTATGAAGTAGACATCCTAGGAGGCAGCTCCCCTCTGAACTGGGAGGGTCCCCAGGCACAAATCCTGTTGCTTTACTTTCCAAGAAGATGTCAAGGAAGAGCAAGCTCAAAAAAGCAGGTAGTGTTTATTCCTGGCCTGCTTCTTGGTGCCTCTGGATTTATTTTATTTGGTGAAGGGCAATGCAGAGTTGAACTGGATCTATCATTCATTAATGGACCTTGGGGGCATGTCTATAGAACAGTTTTGGGGTAGGGTCTGTGAAGTCTCTGAAAACATATCCAGAAGTATACATGTATGTCTTTCATGGGGAGAGGTGTCATGGCTTTTATAACATTCTCAGAGGCTGAGGACCCCAAATTTATTCAGGTCCCTTGTTCCAGGTGAATGTCAGGAATAAGCCAGGGCCATTGTATTATCTGTCAGTTTCACAGAAGAGAAAAGGAGCCTGGACTTTTTCAGGAGTTACTTTGGCAAGAATGGGTTCTAAGTCTCCTGGAAAATTGGGAGAATCACTTTTTATAATTGCACTTCACTGCCTATGAATATCTGCTTATGGGCTCTCGATGAGAGTGAAACTCACTCTGCACATACCCAGGCAGCTCTTTAGAACCTTCCGCCATCTCGGGGCTCTACCTCTTGAGGTGTCCCCATAGAAGGGGCCATGCAGGGAGCAGAGAGCTTTTGCCTCTTGAGCATTTGCTTGCCCTAAAAGCAGAGAAGAATCATGCCACCCAGCCTGAATCTTCAGGGTGGGGTACACATGGCTTACCTGATGTCAATTTAAATCATTTGTGGCTCGCAAATTAATGCACCTCGGAAACACTAAGTTCATATCCACAAGTACAGTAAAAAAATGTGGCTGTCTGGCAGGCAGTTCTCCAGACATTTAGGCTTCTGATAATGTCTTTGAACATCACACCTATTATTTTAATTGGTTATTTTGCTCTGAGGAAAATAGAAATGTTCTCTGATTAGTTGATAGTAGGTCAAAGGCCTGTCTTTTCTGGAAACTATTGAAAAGAACCAGATAATTGCAGAAGAAAAGGATTTTAGGAAGGGGGTTGGGAGCTGTAGCCAAAATGCAACCCAGGCAGTCAGCACTCAGGTAGGGAACTCTAAGATCTGATAGAGGATAAGAAGAGAACTGGCCCCCAGGGGTTCTCTAGAGTCCAGACTTTTCTATAGAACCGCTTGAGTTCTGGCTGCCCAGGAAGCCATACAGTCTTCTGTTCTGTAGCTGTCCAGGCTGGGCCACGTAGCCGTGCTGGACTGTACTTACAGAGAGCAGTGGACAGCTATGATTTACAGCTTCTGAAGCAAAGCAGCATGGCCTTTACACAGAGCTAGTGACATGAATAGGGTGTGTTTAGAAAGCTTTCTACCTCCCTAGAATACATCCATCTATCCCTAAAACCCTAGAAAAGATCTACCGCCCCAAAGAATCTGCCCTCTCTCTGTAGCAGTGCGTCTCAAGTTTGGAAACACTTATGGGATTTTTTTTTTTTAATACTTTAATACCTGTGTTTGGATCTCATCTCCAGAGATTCTGGTTTAATTGGTAAGGAGAAAGGCCTGGACATTGGGATTTTAAAAGCCTCCCCTGCTGATTCTGGTATGCAGCAGTGGTTGAGAACCATTGCGCTATAGTTCACGGTTCTCAAAATTGTAAGAATCACTAGCCCCCTCCCACCCCACGCTCCCTGCAAGACATTCTGATGCAGCAGATCTGGGGTAGTACGCAAGTATCTATGTTTTCAACAAGCTCCTAAAGTGACCCTGGTGTTGGGCATCTTAAAAGTGTGCCCTAGATACCAAGAGACCTCTTAGGGTATTTTAATATTATATGACAGTTATTAATTATTAATAATAAACTAATGGGGAGTTCTAGTTAATGGAGTACCATCCTTTATTGCTGTATATTGCCAATTATAGATTCCCAATAAAACATACTTTAAGCTTAATATCAAGACTATATTCAACACAATTTCATCTTTGAAGCAGGAAGTGTAAAAGCAGTACACAAGAGGTAATCATTTACTTTATCTGTGGTATGTTCTGAAAGTTGCTTTTTTGATTGAACTTTCTGTGCCTGCTGATACACCTAAAATAGTAGAAAAAAATCAAGGGAAAAATTTTATGTTGTTTTGTGATGTGGATTCCAGATACAATGTAACTTTGCTAAAACATGTTATATCATTTGTCAGACTTCATGGGTCCAATTACCAGATACCAGCACTGACTCCCTGGGTAAAGGGGGACAATAAGGGCATCTACATCCCCGGGTTAGTGGATGGTGGAATGAGAGGAATTATTTAAGTGCTTACATAGTGCCTCTACATTATGAGCAATCAGTGAAGACTAGCTATTGTGTTATTTATCACTAGAGGATAACATTTTATGTAAAATATTAATATGTACTTACAAATAATTTAGGTGTGAGAACAGTTCTAACTTACAAAGTCTTTTGTTTATTTTTGTTTTTTTAACAATCACCGGCTCAAGAAGCTTATAATTTGGGGTAGGGCACAGACCAGTAAATAGACAATTACAAAGCAATATAACAGAAGAAAGCACGGTGTTATGAGGCAAAAATAAGGACCACTAACTGAAAATTTATTAAGCCATTTTCTGTCATCCTAGATGTATTCAAGATGTAATTCCCTTAGAGTACAAAGTTAATGTAAAAAAAACGCTTCATTGTGACCTTCAGTCTAGAAGATGTATGGCAAAATTAGGCTGAAGCATCTTTTTCTCCTGTGACATTAGACATCTGATTTCACTGAAATATAGCACACAATTACTGGAAATGAGGGCCTATAAAAGTCCACAAAACCAAGTGACTTTTCAAGATATAACAGAGGTAAAAGGTTACTGTCATCACTGTCTATGAATCATCTCATTATCGATATTCTAGACTTTGAAGTAAAATAATAAAAAGTTTACTTAAAGCAACAGCATCAGATAATTAAACAATTCTTTGGTATTTAATACTAATATTTCAGAAATAGAACTCCAGAGTATTTCCAGATGTGCATATGCTGATCGATTTTTAGGTTTATCATCCTTCGCTTTATAACGGAAGTCATTTCTTATACATTGATAGAATGTAGTATGAGTGTAGTGATATTTTTCACTCTGACATTAACTAAAAACATGGTGTAAATGGAGAATTATAGAGGTAGCAAGGCAAAGGTTACAAAATATATGCAAACATTTTTGTTTATTTGTATGCTGTATTTCATTGTTGTGTTTTTATTATACTTTAAGTTCTGGGGTACATGTGCAGAATGTGCAGGTATACATGTGCCGTGGTGGTTTGCTGCACCCATCAACCCATCATCTACATTAGGTATTCCTCCTAATGCTATCCCTCCCCTAGCCCCTGACCCGCCAACAGGCCCCAGTGTGTGATGTTCCCCTCCCTGTGTTCATGGGTTCTCATTGTTCAACTCCCACTTATGGGTGAGAACATGCAGTGTTTGGTTTTCTGTTCTTGTGTTAGTTTGCTGAGGATGATGGTTTCCAGCTTCATCCATGTCCCTGCAAAGGACATGAACTCATCCTTTTTTATGGCTGCATAGTATTCCATGGTGTATATGTGCCACGTTTTCTTAATCCAGTCTATCAATCATTGATGGGCATTTGGGTTGGTTCCAGGTCTTTGCTATTGTGAACAATGCCACAATAAACATACGTGTGCATGCGTCTTTATAGTACAATGATTTATAATCCTTTGGGTATATACCCAGGAATGGGATTGCTGGGTCAAATGGTATTTCTGGTTCTACATCCTTAAGGAATCGCCACACCATCTTCCACAATGGTTGAACTAATTTACACTCCCACCAACAGTGTAAAAGCATTCCTATTTCTCCCCATCCTCTCCAGCATCTGTTGTTCCCTGACTTTTTAATGATCGCCATTCTAACTGGTGTGAGATGGTATCTCATTGTGGTTTTGATTTGCATTTCTCTAATGACCAGTGAGGATGAGCATTTTTTCATATGTTTGTTGGCTGCATAAATGTCTTTTGAGAAGTGTCTGTTCATATCCTTCACCCACTTTTTGATGGGGTGAGAGAGGGCATCCTTCTCTTGTGCCGGTTTTCAAATGGAATGCTTCCAGTTTTTGCCCATTCAGTATGATATTGACTGTGGGTTTGTCATAATAGCTCTTACTATTTTGAGATATGTTCCATCAATACCTGGTTTATTGAGAGTTTTTAACATGAAGGGCTGTTGAATTTTGTCAAAGTCCTTTTCTGCATCTATTGAGATAATCATGTGGTTTTTGTCTTTGGTTCTGTTTATGTGATGGATTACATTTATTGAATTGCATATGTTGAACCAGCCTTGCATCCCAGGGATGAAGCCCACTTGATCATGGTAGATAAGCTTTTTGATATGCTGCTGGATTCGGTTTTCCAGTATTTTATTGAGGATTTTTGCATCGATGTTCATCAGGGATATTGGCCTCAAATTTTTTTTGGTTGTGTCTCTGCCCGGCTTTGGTATCAGGATGATGCTGGCCTCATAAAATGAGTTCGGGAGGATTCCCTCTTTTTCTATTGATTGGAATAGTTTCAGAAGGAATGGTACCAGCTCCTCTTTGTACCTCTGGTAGAATTCGGCTGTGAATCCATCTGGTCCTGGGCTTTTTTTGGTTGGTAGGCTATTAATTACTGCCTCAATTTCAGAACTTGTTATTGGTCTATTCAGGGATTTGATTTCTTCCTGGTTTAGTCTTGGGAGGGTGTATGTGTCCAGGAATTTATCCATTTCTTCTAGATTTTCTAGTTTATTTGCGTAGAGGTGTTTATAGTATTATCTGATGGTATTTTGTATTTCCGGGGGATCACTGGTGATATTCCCTTTATCATTTTTTATTGCCTCTATTTGATTCTTCTCTCTTTCCTTCTTTATTAGTCTGGCTAGCAGTCTGTTTTGTTGATCTTTTCAAAAAACCAGCTCCTGGATTCATTGATTTGATTTTTTGAACAGTTTCTGGTGTCTCTGTCTCCTTCAGTTCTGCTTTGATCTTAGTTATTTCTTGCCTTCTGCTAGCTTTTGAGTTTGTTTGCTCTTGCTTCTCTAGTTCTTTTAACTGTGATGTTAGGATGTCGATTTTAGAACTTTCCTGCTTTCTCTTGTGGGCATTTAGTGCTGTAAATTTCCCTCTACACACTGCTTTAAGTGTGTCCCAGAGATTCTGGTACGTTGTGTCTTTGTTCTCATTGGTTTCAAAGAACATCTTTATTTCTGCCTTCATTTCATTTTTTACCAGTCATTCAGGAGCAGGTTGTTCAGTTTCCATGTAGTTGTGTGGTTTTGAGTGAGTTTCTTAATCCTGAGTTCTAATTTGATTGCACTGTGGTCTGAGAGACAGGTTGTTATGATTTCCATTCTTTTGTGTATGCTGAGGAGTGTTTTACTTCCAATTATGTGGTCAGTGTTAGAAAAAGTGCAGTGTGGTGCTGAGAAGAATGTATATTCTACTGATTTGGGGTAGAGAGTTCTGTAGATGTCTATTAGGTCAGCTTTGTCCAGAGGTGAGTTCAAGTCCTGGATATCCTTGTTAACTTTCTGTCTTGTTGATCTAATATTGACAGTGGGGTGTTAAAGTCTCCCACTATTATTGTGTGGGAGTCTAAGTCTCTTTGTAGGTCTCTAAGAACTTGCTTTATGTATTGGGTGCATATATATTTAGGATAGTTAGCTCTTCTTGTTGCATTGATCCCTTTACCATTATGTAATGGCCTTGTCTCTTTTGATCTTTGTTGGTTTAAAGTCTGTTTTATCAGAGACTAGGATTGCAACCCCTGCTTTTTTTTTGCTTTCCATTTAGTTGGTAAATCTTCCTCCATCCCTTTATTTTGAGCCTATGTGTGTCTTTGCACCTGAGATGGGTCTTCTGAATGCAGCACACTGATGGGTCTTGACTCTATCCAATTTGCCAGTCTGTGTCTTTTAATTGGGGCATTTAGCCCATTTACATTTAAGGTTAATACTGTTATGTGTGAATTGGATCCTGTCATTATGCTGTTAGCTGGTTATTTTGCCCATTAGTTGATGCAGTTTTTCATAGCATCGATGGTCTTTACAATTTGGTATGTTTCTGCAGTGACTGGTATCGGTTTTTCCTTTCCATGTTCATTGCTTTCCTCAGGAGCTCTTGTAAGGCAGACCTGGTGGTGACAGAATCTCTCAGCATTTGCTTGTCTGTAAAGGATTTTATGTCTCCTTAACATATGAAGCTTAGTTCGGCTGGATATGAAATTTTCGGTTGAAAATTCTTTAAGAATGTTGAATATTGGCCCCCATTCTCCTCTGGCTTGTAGGGTGTCTGTAGAGAGATCCATTGTTAGTCTGATGGGCTTCCCTTTGTGGGTAACCCGACCTTTCTCTCTGGCTGCCCTTAACATTTTTTTCTTTTGTTTCAGCCTTGGTGAATCTGACAATTATGGGTCTTGTTGAGTATCTTTGTGGTGTTCCATGTATTTCCTGAATTTGAATGTTGGCCTGCCTTGCTAGGTTGGGGAAGTTCTCCTGGATAATATCCTGAAGAATGTTTTCCAACTTGGTTTCATTCTCCCTGTCACTTTCAAGTACACCATTCAAACGTAATTTGGTCTTTTCACATAGTCTCATGTTTCTTGGAGGCTTTCTCTGTTTCTTTTCACTCTTTTTTCTCTAATCTTTTCTTATTGCTTTATTTCATTGAGTTGATCTTCAATCTCTGATATCTTTTCTTCCACTTGATCAATTCAGCTATTGATACTTGTATATACTCACGAAGTTCTCGTGCTGTGTTTTTCAGCTCTATCAGGTCATTTATGTTCTTCTCTAAATTGGTTATTCTAGTTAGCAATTCGCCTAACCTTTTTTCAAGGTTCTTGGCTTCCTTACATTGGGTTAAAACATGCTCCTTTAGCTTGCAGGAGTTTATTACCACCCACCTTCTGAAGCCTGCTTCTGTCAATTTGTCAATCTCATTCACCGTCTAGTTTTGTTCCCTTGATGGTGAGGAGTTGTGATCCTTTGGAGGAGAAGAGCCATTCTGGTTTTCGGAATGTTCAGCGTTTTTGTGCTGGTTTCTCCCCATCTTTGTGGATTTATTTACCTTTGGTCTTTGACATTGGTGACCTTCGGATGGGGTCTCTGAGTGGATGTCCTTTTGGTTGATGTTGATACTATTACTTTGTTTGTTAGTTTTCCTTCTAACAAGCAGACTCCTCTGCTGCAGGTCTGCTGGAGTTTGCTAGAGGCCTACTTCAGACCCTGTTTGCCTGGGTATCACCAGCGGAAGCTGCAGAACAGCAACGATTGCTGCCTCTTCCTTCCTCTGGAAGCTTTGTCCCAGAGGCGGACCCACCAGCTGCCAGCCAGAGCTCTCCTGTATGAGATGTCTTCCAGTCAGGATACATGGGGGTCGGGGACCCACTTGAGGAGGCAATCTGGCTTTATCAGAGCTCAAATGCTGTGCTGGGAGGACCACTACTCTATTCAGAGCTGTCAAGCAGGGACATTTAAGTGTGCTGAAGCTGCACCTACAGCCACCCCTTCCCCTAGGTGCTCTGTCCCAGGGAGATGGGGGTGTTATCTATAAGTACCTGACTGGGGCTGCTGCCTTTTTTTCAGAGATGCCCTGCCCAGAGAGGAGGAATCTAGAGAGGCAGTAGGCCTTGCTGAGCTGCGGTGGGCTCCACCCAGTTTAAGACTTTGTTTACACTGTGAGGGTAAAACCACCTACTCAAGCCTCAGCAATGGCCGATGCCCCTCTGCCCACCAAGCTCGAGCATCCCAGGTCAACCTCAGACTGCTGTGCTAGCAGCAAGAATTTCAAGCCAGTGGATCTTAGCTTTCTGGGCTCCTTGTGGGTGGGACCCACCAAGCCAGGCACTGGAGGGAATCTCCTGGTCTGCTGGTTGTGAAGGCCATGGGAAAAGCGCAGTATCTGGGCCAGAGTGCACTGTTCCTCCTGGTACAGTCTCTCATGGCTTCCCTTGGCTAGGAGAGGAAGTTTCCTGACCCTTTGTGCTTCCCAGGTGAGGTGACGCCCCACCCCACTTGAGCGCATCCTCCATGGGCTGCACCCACTGTCCAACCAGTCCCAATGAGATGAACCGGGTACCTCAGTTGGAAATGCAGAAATCACTCGCCTTCTGTGTCAGTCTCACTGGGAGCTGCAGACTGGAGCTGTTCCTATTCGGCCATCATGCCAGCTCTCTCACAAAGTCTTTTGTAAACCTGTGTATCCAAAGAAAAGATTGGAAGTATGTCTAAACTACTGTCTTTATTCATCAGGGAATCAAAGCCGTCCTGGCCGAGAGCTACGAGCGCATTCACCGCAGTAACCTGGTTGGGATGGGTGTGATCCCACTTGAATATCTCCCTGGTGAGAATGCAGATGCCCTGGGGCTCACAGGGCAAGAACGATACACTATCATTATTCCAGAAAACCTCAAACCACAAATGAAAGTCCAGGTCAAGGTAAGCTGGAGCCTCTCTATGCCAGGCCCTGTCGAAAGGGGCCCCCTCGTTTGTAACCAGTCTTGTTAGAAGGAAATTAGTGAGGTTTAGAAGGCAAAAAATATCACTCAGGAGGACTGCATTAGACTTAGGAGGCCTACTAGCATCTTTTCTACCTGCCTTCATAGCATAGGATGATGCCTATGGATTTAATTTCTCTGTTTATTCACAGAGTTATCCTCAGTTCCATTCTTACCTCCCACCCCCTACTGTACCCTGTTCCCGGTCTCTCGTGATGAGAGCTCAGGGATGTGACATTTCACATTACCTAAAACATTTCACTATAAAAACGTGAGCAACAGATATACTCACCCCTCCCTAAGCCTGCCCATAGGCACCAGGCTTTGATTAGCCCAAGAGTGAAAATGATAGATCCCTAGGCAAGGTAAAGATAAAGTGCCCAGCACCAGGTCCCAGGGGTCATTCGGTGCCCCAGACAGAGGCAGTGCAAAAGTCTGTGTCTCAGATAAGCAGATGGGCCAGCTGCCTAAGGGACAACCTTAATGAAATCTCTGCTGATTGAATACTTCTGTCCACAGGGAGCCCCCAGAGGTTTAGAAAATACCACCCTGATGTCATTAATAGCTACTGCCCTGAGAAGCTATTTCTAGTTCTTAGATGGCTCTCACCCCCATCATTTACAGTCTGCAGTGATTCTCAAACTGTAATGGGCAAAGCAGCCTCCCAGAGATCTTGCTGAAATGCATCTTCTGATTTAGTGGGTCTGGGCTGGGGCCAGCAGCCTTGCATGTCCTCATGTGCTGCTGGTGTTACTGAAGTGTGGACCACACCTGAGGGGCAGGCTGGGCAGAATTTCCTCCGAGCAGAGCTGTCTCGCCACCTCCCTCAATGATGCTTCTGTTTCTTTGTGCCACAGCTGGATACTGGCAAGACCTTCCAGGCTGTCATGAGGTTTGACACTGATGTGGAGCTCACTTATTTCCTCAACGGGGGCATCCTCAACTACATGATCCGCAAGATGGCCAAGTAGGAGACGTGCACTTGGTGCTGCGCCCAGGGAGGAAGCCGCACCACCAGCCAGCGCAGGCCCTGGTGGAGAGGCCTCCCTGGCTGCCTCTGGGAGGGGTGCTGCCTTGTAGATGGAGCAAGTGAGCACTGAGGGTCTGGTGCCAATCCTGTAGGCACAAAACCAGAAGTTTCTACATTCTCTATTTTTGTTAATCATCTTCTCTTTTTCCAGAATTTGGAAGCTAGAATGGTGGGAATGTCAGTAGTGCCAGAAAGAGAGAACCAAGCTTGTCTTTAAAGTTACTGATCACAGGACGTTGCTTTTTCACTGTTTCCTATTAATCTTCAGCTGAACACAAGCAAACCTTCTCAGGAGGTGTCTCCTACCCTCTTATTGTTCCTCTTACGCTCTGCTCAATGAAACCTTCCTCTTGAGGGTCATTTTCCTTTCTGTATTAATTATACCAGTGTTAAGTGACATAGATAAGAACTTTGCACACTTCAAATCAGAGCAGTGATTCTCTCTTCTCTCCCCTTTTCCTTCAGAGTGAATCATCCAGACTCCTCATGGATAGGTCGGGTGTTAAAGTTGTTTTGATTATGTACCTTTTGATAGATCCACATAAAAAGAAATGTGAAGTTTTCTTTTACTATCTTTTCATTTATCAAGCAGAGACCTTTGTTGGGAGGCGGTTTGGGAGAACACATTTCTAATTTGAATGAAATGAAATCTATTTTCAGTGAAAACTTGTTGACTTTGAGTTTTGCTGTGTTTGTGGCTAGAGTTTTGGGATATTTAGTACAGAGTGAATCTCACACCATATCATTGGGAAGCCTGAATAACCTTCATATTCTCCCATTTTTACAACTCTATCAGAACTGTACGGGTATAACGGAAATGTTTAGGAACCATTATGCTCGCTCTTCCCTGTTTGGGAGCAGACAAGAAGGAAGAGTAGCCTGGTGGCAGTGGCAACGATATAAGTACATAAGGAAAAGCAGATAAACTTCAGGACACTAAAAACCAATTATCTGCTCATTTTTACCCCTGTAGTCATTTCTGGGCATGCCTTAGTTTGCTTGGGTTGCTATAATGTAATGCCATAGACTGGCTGAAAGAACAGAAATGTATTTTCTCACAGTTATGGAGGCTGGAATTCTGAGATCAAAGTTGAAGCCACTTCATTTTCTGGTGAGGACACTCTTCCTGGTTTACAGATGGCCACCTTCTTGCTTGTTCTCACATGGCATTTCTTTGGTATGTGCCTGGTGGGGGAGAGAGAAAATAGGCTCTCATGTCTCTTCTTACAGCAACACTAATTGTATTGGATCAGGGTCCCACTCTTATGGAGACCCAGGAAAGCTGGTGGTATAACAACTTGGTTCAAGTCCAAATGCCTAAGAACCTGGGGAGGGGCATGGGGAATGCTGGTATAAGTCCCAGAGTCTGAATGCCCAGGAACAAGCAGGAGCTGTGATGTCCAAGGACAGGAGGGCAGGATCTTTGTAATGAATTTTTAATGTCAACCTTAGCACTCAGGGGATATGGCCTGGTCATCAGAACATCTGGAATCTAATCCTCTTTCTACTTCTCACCAGATGAGGGATCAAGACAGGTTATTTAGCATCCCTGCACTTGCGGTCCTGGGGATCTTATTTATATTCATTTAAAAAATAAATTACAAACAAACAGCCAGGCGCAGTGGCTCATGCCTATAATTCCATCACTTTGGGAGGCCGAGGTGGGTAGATCACCTGAGGTCAGGAGTTCTAGACCAGCCTGGCCAACATGGTGAAACCCCGTCTCTACTAAAAATACAAAAAATTAGCCAGGTGTGGTATTGTGTGCCTGTAATCCCAGCTACACAGGAGGCTGAGGCAGGAGAATTGCTTAAACCCGGGATGCAGAGGCTGCAGTGAGCCGAGATCGTGCCATTGCACGCCCGCCTGGGCTACAAGAGCAAAGCTCCGTCTCAAAAAAAAAAAAAAATTACAAACAAACAGAACTCCATTGTACAAAAAAACCTGTGATCCTCAAGTTAAGATCAGTCCTAGAATAAAAACACTAAGAATGGCTGAGAAAACAGACCTCCACCCTCTCAGCTCTCCATTACTGAGCAGCTGGGGAGCTGTCTCGCTCCCCGCATTCAGTGGCTCCTGTGGTCTGTATTTTTGTATCCTCCCCAAAATTCAGGTGGTGAAACCTTAACCCCCCAGGTAATGGTAATAGAAGCTGGGGCCTTTGGAAGGTGATTAGATCATGAGGGTAGTGCCTTTTAAAAGAGACTCAAGATAAGATAGAGACCCCCTCATTTCTTCTGCCATGGGAGAACACAGCAAGAAGTCACCATCCGTGAACCAGAAAGTGGGTTCTCACCAGATACTGAATCTGCCAGTGCCTTGAACCTAGACTTTCCAGCCAGAACTGTGAGAAATTTCTATTGTTTATAAGCCACCCAGTTGATATTTAGTTACAGCAGCCCAACCAAGACTGTGGTTATGAGGAAACAAACACATTATTGTGGCTAGACTAATGGAATTGGGTCCCTTACCTCCAAGTACACCCTCTGTCCTTTTCGGTAAAAATATCTTCGCCAGGCACGGTGTCTCATGCCTATGATCCCAACACTTTGGGAGGCCGAGGCTGGAGGGTTGCTTGAGCCCAGAAGTTTGAGACCAGCCTGGGCAACACTCTACAAAAAAAAAAATAAATAAATAAATAAATAAAATAAATCAGCCAGGTGTGCACCTGTGGTCCCAGCTGTTCAGGAGGCTGAGGTGGGAGGATCACTTGAGCCTGGGAGGTCGTGGCTATGATTGCTCCACTGCACTCCAGCCTGGGCAATAGAGTGAGACCCTATCAATCAATCACCACCCCCCCCCCCCCCAAAAAAAAAAGTATCTTGGCCAGTGTCTCAACCTTGCCCACTAACAAGCCTAAATAAACCAACTTCTTTTACCTGGTTCTTTAAGGGCTGCTCGTCTTACTATCCAAATTAAAAATCTGCTGTTCTCCCTCCCATATTCTTTGCGAATGAAGATTCCCCTGTTTGTTTGGATAGTTTTCCAAATTCATTACTGCATTCCTGGCATCCGCAGCAAGCTAAGAGTTAGTTAATATTTTTAATATAGCAAATAAGGATGAGGGATGCCCTTCATGTGTATTTACACACCAGATTTTTATGGTACATAGGGAGTAATCTAGGGAAAAGATATATTAGGCATGAATCTTAGCTGTGGTAGAAGCACAGCTCAAATTAGCTTAAGGAAAAAAAAAAAAAAGCTGGCTCATAGAACTTGAGGACAGTGGTGGCCATGACTATGGGCTTGATTGGATCTAGTGACTCAAGCTCCCTTCCATTTGCCCCTCCAACCACCCCCCCATCCCTCCACCAATCATACCTTCTGTTGGCCTCTGCAGTAGAGTGGCCTCTTCTGGGCCCTTCCACATGCCAGGGGATATGGCCACCAGCAGTTCTGGGGAAACCATTAGTAATTTGTGATCGTAGAGATTTGTCTCCCAGTATTCCCTAGGGCAAAAATATTGGGAGTTCCTAGTCACCTAAATGAAGAACCTTATTTTTAGCAGTTTCCCTTTCAGGGCTCTAACAGGACTGTGGAGTAATGTACGGGGTTATGTAGGAGCAATGCAGAGCCACTTTTGAAAAACAGTAGCCAAGGTTCTACTGGCTGCCTTCTTAGGACATTATTAAATATCATAAACACAAGTGGAATTTAACACCCAGCCAGTTTGTGTTCAACCAGACAGCGTCATTATGAACAAAGATTATATAACGATAGCTGATATTAAGTAAGTTTTAAAAGTTGACATCCCAAGAGTGAAGCCTACTTATTCAGTACAGATTTGTTGAATGAAATTCGTAGTTTTATTTTACGGCATAATGAAACAGAGTTCCAGACATGTACCTGCCAAATTTGGTTCTGGTTGTCTTATCGTATGCAGGCTGGATACCTGCTACTGTGCTTCTACAGGATGTTAACAGTGTCCCCTGAGTAAAACAGTTCCACGGTCAGTACATTTGGGAACCACTGAGTTAAATGGGTTTTATCACTGCAGAACAGACACAAGAACAATGTGTGCTGTAAATCACTGTTTGCAGGGAAGGTGGCAGCAAATGGCACAGAAACCCACCTGACCACAGACTGCTTTCTTCTGGGCGTTCACGCACTGTGCTCCACAGGATACTCTTGAGAAACATTGAGCTATGGTTGGTCTGTTGTTTGAAATTCAAATAATAATGAATCCATTTTAAGGACAGGAATTGGTTTACTGACCTTGATGTTGGGATGACTCTTCATTTCAGGGTGAAAATATCACAGCATCAGCACAGGCCAGGACCACAGAGATAACAAGGTGGTAGTTGTGTAACAGGTTGTGTCTGAACCACAGGAGCTTCAAAACATACACGGCTGGACACCCTGCCAGGATGCTCTAATGGGGCTGGGCATGTGTCCATGAAAAAGACTCCCCAGTTGTTTCTAAAATGTGGCCTTTGTTCTAGAAATGCAATGACCAGCATTTGGGAGTCAGTCAAAAGATCCACTTCCTAAAAGCCTACCTGCTCATTTCTTTCATTCAATACATATTAACCAAGTGCCTACTTTGTTTGAGTCCATGCCTGGCAATGACATTATTCCATTAAAAGTCAAACAAGGAAATGCTAAGTTCTCCTTATTTATTTTCACTTCAGTCTGCCTGCCTCAGTTGGCTGAATAGGGCTATTCACCTTCATCCAAATTGAATCATTTACATACTTAAAAGAACTTTTCTTGGCCAGGCATGGTGACTCACGCCTGTAATCCCAACACTGTGGGAGGCCGAGGCAAGTGGATCACTTGAGGTCAGGAGTTCAAGACCAGCCTGGCCAACATGGTGAAACCCCGACTCTACTAAAAATAAAAAAATTTAGCCGGGTGTGGTGGTGGGTGCCTGTACCCAGCTATGTGGGAGGCTGAGGCAGGAGAATCACTTGAACCTAGAAGGCAGAGGTTGCAGTGAGCCGAGATCACACCACTACACTCCAACCTGGGCAACAGAGTGAGACTCCATCTCAGAAAAAAAAATAATAATAATAACTTTTATCTTATTAAATCTATTTCTAGTAGATGTTTTACACATCCTATTGGAGTTCTTAAACAATAGTGTATTAGTCTGTTTTCACACTGCTATAAAGAACTGCCTGAGACTGGGTCATTTATAAAGAAAAGAGGCTTAATAGATTCACAGTTCCACATGGCTGAGGAGGCCTCAGGAAACTTACAATCATGGCAGAAGGGGAAGCAGGCAAGTCTTACATGGCAGCAGATGAGAGAGAGAGTGTGTGTAAAGGAGGAATTGTCAAACACTTATAAAACCATCAGATCTCATGAGAACTAACTCACTATCCCAAGAACAGCATGGGGACAACTGCCCCCGTGATCCAATCACCTCCCGTCAGGTCCCTCCCTTGACACATGGGGATTATAATTCAAGATGAGATTTGGGTGGGGACATATAGCCAAACCATATCAAATAGCAATTAAAAAAAATCACATAAGAAAAGACACTCTTAATAAAATACAAATAGAAAATGAAAAAAAACCAACTCATAAACTTGGTTTAAATAATCCATTTGTATTGGGTCTTAGTAAGAATACTACTACTAGTAACTATTATCAAGCAACTACTGTGTCATGTACTTTTCACACATTCTTTTAATTAAAAACTCTCCACTAACCCTTACAGTTCAGTATTATCCTTGTTTTACAGATGAAGAAAAGCCAAAGAGAAGTTATATAACTGGCAAGTTTCTCTGGCTCCCCGCCTGCACCACTGCTCACCAGATTGCATGAAGAGGGAGGCAGCTGTAACACCTCATCCCGTTGATCTCCAGGGAACTCAGATACTTGTTTCCACGTCCAGGAAACCGCAAACTAAGCTCTTTGAAGCATCAGCAAACCTTGCTAAGTGACACGTGAATGCCATTTGGATACATATTCTAATCTTTCAAGTAGAAAGGACAGTCAGACTGCCTCATCTGTAACATCCAAGGGATCTGAGAACAGACATTCAGTCCAGGTGTTGAACATCAACATCATTATAGGAAAATGGTCAAAGAGAACAATGGCACACGTTAAGAGAACATATTAATAGGGCAAGATGTATAGTAAACTAAGTTTTCAAGAAGTATTTTATCATTTTTATGCTCTCTACTAAAAGCTGACCACTGTAGAGTGGATACACATTGCTACATACAGCAACTCTACAGTGGACAGCTTTTAGTAGTAAGCATAAAAATGGCTTTATGTTCTCATGTTCTCTGTGTAGCCATACCACACGTTGCTACACCAGGAACATGAGTACATATAACCATTACATATACATACCTGTATGTATGTATATTAGTTACATATACATATGTACAGTATATACATGTATATATATTGAACCCTTGGAAGGGATCAGCAAAGAGGAGGACTCAATAAAAAAAGACTAGAATAGAACTAGAAGAGAGAGAAGCCCAGGGAGAGCTTCAAGAAGAGTGCTCAACAGGGCCAAATGCGCAGAGGTCAAATAGAAGGTTAAGAAGTGCCCAGTGGATTTGGCAACCAGAGTCACTGGTAACCTTCAAAAGAACAATTTCAGTAGATTGTTAAGGGCAAAAGCCAGTTTACAGTAGGTTAAGGAGACAAAGGGAGATAAAAATTCCCAACATTCCATTCATTCATCTATCCCAGTGTGTACAGAGTGATTACTGTGTGTTTGTTGGCAGTTGACTCTAAAAAGAAGGCTAGAAATGAGGCTTTTTAATTTTTCCCAAGTACTATGAGCTCTGTTGGCCTACAAAATACTCAGTGCTGTGATTCACTCATTTGTGCTTTGCATATATAATATAGTACAAACTGCTAAAGATATTTTTAAAAAATATATTTTCACAGGGGTACAAGCGATCCATGATTATACCCACTATGTTTGTTTCTTCTCCACTCAAAGTTACTCATTCCCTGTAGCTGAAGATTGAGGACCTGATATCATTTGGACATTTCTGCTGGATCAAATGGTATCTTCTCAAAATGAAAGTCCTTCCACTTCGAGTACAGTGTCTGAACTCCAGTTGCAATATCCTCCACCACAAAACTTTCAATTTTTATAACTGGAATCTCAAATGTCTTGTACTTCACATGGATTCCCCAGTCATGGCTGCAGTTCTGTCGGGCACAGAATATCTTTGCTCTTTTTTCAAAACTTGAAAACTGCTTTGGCTTGGGATGTGGTCTACTCACAAAGCATTCCTTAAAAGCATCTCCAAGCACAGTGTAATGGCATTCCTACAGATGAAGGGATGGAATAACACACAAAAGAGAACGTTAGAACCAGTACATAATTGTGATTTAAAAAAAAAAAAAAGAAAACCCCACAATAATCTGAGGCAAAGAACAGGTGGGTCTCACTTATTTTACAATTGGAGGAAAAAAAAAAATAGATTCACCCAAAGTCCAGAGGATCCATGCACCTGACTCCCCTCTACAGGCAGGGTGGGGTTGCAAGTGAGGACACTGGGCACCTCATAAAGAAGAAGATTAAGAAGGTTCCAGGTAACCCAGCTTCTGAAGGTAGATACTCATTATTCAAAAACAGAAGCGATGTTTGCTGAAAATTTGTGAAGCTGAAGTTCACCAGTGGCCCTGGCAGGCACAATCCAAAGGATACAGGGAAAACGACCAAGGTCAAGATGCAATTGAAGAAGGTCAGGGACTAATGTGTCCACAGGCCCCACCTAGAGTCAACTTTAGAGTAAACAGCTCAGAAACAAATGCAGATCCAACATACTAGTCCCTCAGGAAAACATAGGGTCTAAAAGGGCCATTTTTAGTAGAACAATCACCCAAATTGGAGCTGAAAGGACCTTTTACAGCTAAAGAAGCAGACTTAGAAAGGTAAGGGAACTTAGCAATATGACTCCTAATAGGCTTTTTGCCCAAACAGCTGAGCTGATGAGAGATTTCTGCTTTCTGAAGACGAACGGAACATCCTGAAGTAATAACTCCTCATCTGAGCCAGCCCAGCCCCTCCACTGTGCCCCCCATGCAAGAGTTATACCCCATATTTCTCTTTGGAGATTTTTCTAACCCTTTCTCTGAAAGTTTTAAGAAAGAAATATAAGGCTGCAATAGAAGGCTAATCTGCAGATGTCACATTTTACAAATAAGGAGATATTTTGTTTTCATTATAAAAGTGATCCATAGCCCAAAAGGAATGTTTGGAAAACATAAGGTAGTAGGAAAAGAGAAAAAAAGTCATGGAATCTCACCACCAAAATATTAATACATTTTGGTATAGTTCCCCTAGCCTTTGTTTTTCTGTAGCAAGGTAGGTTTTTTGACTTTTTCTCTTGACAATGACAATGAATGTATTTGCTGCTGTTGTTTCACACAGCTACAAAGTAGCATCTTTACAATTCTGTGTTCTGGTTACTTTTTTCCTTATTACCATTAGTTTGTAAGCAGTTTTTCATTATACTACATAAACTTCATAATTTTTTAAAATAAACTTTACTTTGGAACAATTTTAGATTTAAAGAAAAATTGCAAAGATATCCCAGAAAATTTCTGCATACCCTTTACCCAGTTTCCCCAAATGTTAACATCTCATATACCACAGCACATTTGTCAAAACCAAGATAATTAACATCAGTACATTACTATTATCTAAACTACAGATTTTACCACTCTTTCTCTAGTTGTATCCTTTATCTGTTCCAGGAGCTAATCCAGGACACGTCATTGCATTTAGCATGACTTTTTTTTTTTTTTTTTTGAGACAGAGTCTTGCTCTGTCACCCAGGCTGGAGCGCAGTGGCGCGATATCAGCTCACCGCAACCTCTGCCTCCCGGTTCAAGCGATTCTCCTGCCTCAGCCTCCCGAGTAACTAAGATTACAGCCACCTGCCACTACGCCCAGCTAACTTTTTTATTTTTAGTAGAGACGGGGTTTCACCATGTTGGCCGGGCTGGTCTCGAACTCCTGACCTCGTGATCGCCCACCTTGGCCTCCCAAAGTGTTTTGATTACAGGCATGAGCCACTATGCCTGGCCAAAAACTATTTCTTTATTATTGAACATTTAGTATTTTTTTTTCACTTCTTAGCTTTTTTTAAATACACAGATCATGGCCACAGTAACAATGGAAATAATAGTAGTTTTATTATAAATATTTCACCAACAGTAAGCTGTAGCTAGTGCTAAAACATGACCAGGCACTTTGTAAAAAGGCAGCTTACCTCTATCACTCTTACGTCAGCTGTGTAACATGCCAAGGCTTTGCACTTTCTGCAGAGCAGTTTTTTATTTTCCTTATCAGGTACAGGTTTTGGTTTTTCTTGACTATCTCTGATGAATTTTTCATGAGTCTGTATATGCAGAATCTAATGCAAAAAGAAAGACCGCAAATGTAATTTGAGTACAACATATATAGCAAGAAACAGGCACAGATACGTACAATACATATACATGCACGCACATGTATAATCATTCATATACAACTTCCATGAACATATGGTACCTGACTTTGTAAAATCACAGATTTTATTGGTTCTCCTAACTTAGTATTAGTCAATGCTTAATTGTGGCCTCCAATTAGTCTTTCAATTTCTTCATCAAAAATGCTCATAAAAGCACTAAAGATGTCCATAGAATAGTCATATGAACTATGCTTTCTACTTTAGTGTTTGGCAAAACTTGGGAAAAAAAACAAAACCTGTACCAGATATACAATATGCGCTGTTTCAGGCATAATTATATCCATTTGCAGGCACAAACTCAGTGAGTGATACAACAGGCAGAAGAGCCCCTGATATGGTTTGGCTGTGTCCTCACCCAAATCTCAACTTGAATTGTATCTTAACAGAATTCCCACGTGTTATGGGAGGGACCCAGGGGGAGGTAATTGAATCATGGGGGGCCAGTCTTTCCTGTGCTATTCTTATGATAGTGATTGTGTCTCACAAGACCTGATGGGTTTATCAGCGTTTCCACTTTTGCTTCTTCCTCATTTTTCTCTTGCCGCTGCCATGTAAGAAGTGCCTTCTGCCTCCCTCCGTGATTCTGAGGCCTCCCCAGCCATGTGGAACTGTAAGTCCAATTAAACCTCTTTGTTTTCCCAATCTCGGTTATGTCTTTGTCAGTGGCATGAAAACAGACTAATACAGCCCCCAACATCTAAAACCTTTTTTCTCTCTCCCCTTCAGCCACAGGGAATATTGTTGCATATGTATAGTATGATTGTATTCTAATTCAAAATCTAGGCCTTGGCTAAGAACATGGTCCAACTTAGAACCATGGACATGATATTATAAAACTCTTCATACCAATAAACAGAAAGATCTCAAACTGAATGAAAAAAAAAGACAATCATAGATGCCAACACTGAGAAGAGAAAGATTTTAAAGCACCTAATAAAGATGCTTCGATGGGCAATTATAAATACTTTTGAAACATAAAGAGAAAACATAAAGGCTCAACAATGAAATGGAAGACATAAAGTTTAGAACTGAAAGATACAACCAAAATAAAAAGTTCAATGGATGGGCTTTCCATAGCAGAATGGAAGGGACAAAGAAAAGAGTCAGTGAACTGAAAGAACAACAGAAATTACCCAATCTGAACAACAAAAAAATACACTGGGGAAAAAAAAAGCGCAAAGTCTCAAGGACCCGTAGGACTATAAAAAATGATGTCATGGCACTGGAGTTCTGCAAGGAGTGAAGAAAGAGCAGGGCTTAAAAAGTATTCACAGAAATGACCTCCAAATATATCCCAAATTTAACAAGCTACATCAACCAGGATTCAAGAAGCTGAACAAGCTCCAAACAGGATAAACCCCTTCAAAAAACACTCTAAGACAGGTTATAATTAAATTTATGAAAACTGAAGAAAAAAATCTTGAAAGCAGCCAGAAAAAAAAAAAAAAATGACACCTTACCCATAGGGGGAAATCAGTCTGAATAACAGGAGATTTGTCATTAGAAACGATGGAGGCTACCTGGAAGTGGCACAATATTTTTTAAACGCTGAAAGAAAAGAACAGTCCACCCCAGAACCCTAGACTCAGCAAAATGCCACCTTCAAAAATAAAGGAGAAATGAAGACATTCTTAGATGAAGGAACACTGAGAATCTGTCATCAGCAGATTTACCCTAAAAGAATGGCTAAAAGAAGTTTTCTAAACAGAGGAAATGATAAAAGGAACCCTGAAGCCTCATGAAGGAAGAAAGAACACACTGATTTCCTCCATGTCTTCTATGGAAGATTCTGTCCGTCCCACTGGTTTATGGTTTATGGTGGCGCCTCTCCATATCAGATTATGCTTTCACGTGTCCCAGGTGGATCCAGACAGCCTAGGTGCAAATAGTGTCCCTGTCACTTAGCAGCTATGTGATTTGGGGCAAGTGCCTCGTTTCTTTACATACAAAATGGGACAATAGCATCTGCTTCACGGACTGTCAGGAGATAACATGAGTTTATGACTGCTCAGGCCTGCCCAGCACAGGGTAAATGCCCATCACCGTTGCCTCTTCTCTGTTAGGCTAGTCTTATGCTAAGAGCCATGAAAATGTTAATGGGGTGGCTTGTAGTTTTGTATTGATAAGGCAATCTCCATTCATTAGGGATTGCCTTATCAATACGAAACTACTAGCTACCCCCATTTTTATTTTTCTAGAAATATAGCTATTTTCATCTATTTATTATTTTATATAAACTCTAGAACCATTTTATCAAGTTAAAAGTATCATTTATGCTTTCAATATGGTTTGTGACACGTGAATAAGCAAATTTGGGGTGAATGCACGTGTTTAAAATATTCAGTCATTCCATTCAAGAGCATGGCATTTCTTTTATCTTAATATCTCCCAGTAAAATTTTTTTATTTGTCCTCATTTCTGCTTCAAACTTTTCTGATTAGGCTGGTAGATGTAATGGTGAAACAGATGGGTTCTACCAACTCTACCATGAACTAGCTGTGTGATCTACTGGCACTGAAGCTATTCAAGTCTCAGTTTCCTGCCTATAAAATGACATAGGAGGCACTACTGTATGGATTGCTGTAAAGCCTATTGATGTAAGTAAAGCATTTGCAGGGACTGTTGGAGAGTCAGTGTTCTACATGCATGAGCTACACTTATTGTCACTGCGAATGGAAATCTCCCTCCCCCTTATATCTTTTAATTGGTTACGGATCATACATAGATAATATATTGATTACCATACCACTTCAAATTCAAATTTGCTTTATATAAAAAAAAAATTAGATCTAGCTTTTTTTTTTTTTTTTTTTTTTGAGACAGAGTCTCATTTTGTCACCCAGGCTGGAATGCAGTGGCACAATCTCAGCTCACTGCAACTTCCAGCTCCTGGGTTCAAATGATTCTCCTGCCTCAGCCTCCCAAGTAGCTGGGATTACAGGCAGGTGCCACCACATCCAGCTAATTTTTGTATTTTTAGTAGAGATGGGGCTTCACCATGTCAGCCAGGCTGGTCTTGAACTCCTGACCTCAGGTTATCCACCCACCTCAGCCTCCCAAAGTGCTGGCATTACAGGTGTAAGCCACCACACCCGGCTTCCTTTCCCCCACTCCCCCTTTTTGAGATAGATTCCTACTATGTTGCCCTGGCTGGACTTGAACTCTTGGGCTTAAATGATCCTCCCATGTAGCTGGCGCAATAGGCGTGAGCCATCATGCCCAGCTAGACCTAGAATGTTTTGATTTAAAAAAACAAATATACTGGCTGGGCACAGTAGCTCACGCCTGTAATCCCAGCACTTTGGGATATGCCGAGGCTGGCATATCACTTGAGTCCAGAGTTCAAGACCAGCCTGGGCGACATAGCAAAGCCCCATCTCTACTAAAACTACAAAAATTAGTGATGCGTGGTGGCACACACCTGTAGTCCTAGCTGCTTGGGAGGCTGAGATTGCAGTGAGCCAATATCACACCACTGCACTCCAGCCTGGGCTCTGTCTCAAAAAAATAAATAAGAAATAATTAAAAAATTAAAAACCAAATATAATTTCCCCTTCCCCACTTCTTGGCCCCATCCCACCTGAAATTATCTTCATTATTTTTGTAAAAATAAAGGGTGTCCAGGCCTCCTGTTTTTAATCCAATTTTTCAGTTGTAAAACTGTTACATTATATGTATTTATCCCATTCTTTCCTTTGGACAAATTTCTAGAATTGAAATCCCTGGGTTATATGATACACATTTTCCTATGAGCAATTTTAATTTTCTTTTTTAATTTCTTTTTCAGATATGGTTCTAATCACTACTTAAGCAGAATAGAGGTTACCAGGAAAGAAGGTGAAAATATAACCTTGCCTTTCAGGCATCCAACTTTTTAAAAAAATTCACTTATAATGGTATTCAATTATATACTGAAATTCAATTAAATACTAATAATCTCAAATATTTTAAGTGTTACTCTAGGCAATAGGTATAAATCCTAATAAGTTAAAACTATTACAGCTATACTTAAAACTAAGTAAAAATCAATAACTGGGTAAAGAGGCTCAACCAATCATAAGTTAAGTCTATGGCATACTGACCTTCACCCATGCAACCTGTGGCTAAAGAAGCAGCCTAGCTCCACACACTGAGGTGGAGAAAAGCAAACTATCTTAATTATGTGTAGTCATGGGTATGCATGTTGGAAGTTCTTTGTTCAGAATGAACTTTCTTTCACCCCATCTTTATTCTCTGCTCCATGAGGAAAGAAAAACAGCTTCCTCCTCATTCTGATTTCAAATAAACCTTCACAACCACAACTGTCATACCGTTCATCCCTTATTCCTCCAGAATGAAACACCACCAAATCCTGAAGCGTCCACCATGGAAATCAGTTCTTGGATACCTCTGGGCTGTCTACATGTTAAGATGGCTGCAGAGTGACCAGAGAATTCTGGGGCGGGGGATGGGGAGTGCTCTAGTGACAGCAGGCCACACACAGACAATGGACAGTACAGCTGGGGCGCTGGGGAAGAAAGCAGTCTGCCAGTACTCTGCTCATCCCTCTCCCTTTCCTGTTCTTGCAGATTGCCCTAAAGAGCTCCAAGCTTTTGCCCTCTGTTCTGCAGAGTTCCTTCCTTCCGTTAAAACCCATATACAGGGACCAGGATGCTCAAACCCAAACCCCAAACCCTTATCAAAGCACCCACAAAAGGGGGGCTCACCCCTAGAACCATAATTCCCTTTAGTCTTAAGAATATAAGATTTTCCCTACCTCGTTATACTTTTACTAAGCCTTTTTTTGTTTGTTTTTTTGAGACGGAGTCTTACTCTGTTGCCCAGGCTGGAGTGCAGTGGCGCGATCTCGGCTCACTGCAAGCTCTGCCTCCCGGGTTCACGCCATTCTCCTGCCTCAGCCTCCCGAGTAGCTGGGACTACAGGTGCCCGTCACCGCGCCTGGCTAATTTTTTGTATTTTTAGTAGAGACGGGGTTTCACCGTGGTCTCAATCTCCTGACCTCGTGATCCACCCGCCTCGGCCTCCCAAAGTGCTGGGATTACAGGCATGAGCCACCGCGCCCGGCCTTTACTAAGCCTTTGAAAGCAAATCCTTCCCCTTTGAGCAGGGCAGCTGGGCCTGGTCATGTATGATAGGACAGGGATACCAACACAACTCAGGCTTCCCAGCTGCCAGTAACTCCCAGCTACACTGGTTATAGGGCTTCTTGTTCCCTACCATCTCTGCCTATCTATCTGTAAGTGTTACGGGAACCCCAAATGCTATTACATAGCCTGATTCAACAGATACTTAACCCATTTCCTCCTCACCCCACTCCTTATCCTGGTGTGCTGGCTACAAAAGAATGCCTACATCTGGTCTAGCCTCTCTCTTCCTCAACAGACTTTTACTCTGTTGCTTCTGTCACATGAGTCTAAGTAGCTTGTCACCTAGGAGAAGAGATAAAAATTATGCCATGGCTATTAAAACTCGTGGTTTTAAAACGTGTATTGGCAATATATTTTACAAAATGGAAAGGTGGCTCAGTGAAGAGAGAATAGAGAATCCCATCCCCAGTAAAACTAAGGGAGGAACTAAATAATTTCCCTGCAATTCTTCTCACTGAAAATGTGGAAGAGGTGGTTCTAGATAACTTAATCTCCCAGCTTTAGGAAGAAAAATGTTTTTAGACTAGTAAACATTGACAAAGTTTTGATTTGTGTCCTAAAATAAGTGTTAATCTGCTTTAGATAATTGATGGTCAATACTTTTTGGAGCACAGAGATTATGACTTTTTAAAATTATAGACACTATGGAGTTGGTCTATTAAACTGTAAGGTTCATCTTCATGAAGTTAAACTATGTCTCACACTTCTGTCCAGTAACAGCTCTCATTTCTTGGGCACGTATTTTATGCCAGGCGCTAAGAGATGCAATGCATACATCTCATTTATCCTCATGACCACCCTGGGAGTTAAATACTATTATTTTCCCCACTTTTTACATGAGGAGATTGATTATTTAAAAGACAGAGCAACTGCCTGAGGTCACACATCTTGCAACTGATAGAACTGGGATTTGAACCATGGATTCTAGTGTTAAAGCTCTCCCCTAGCCCTGCAGTGATCATGCTTCCAGAGATTCTGAGATGAAAATCTCTGCAATGGGTCTGGAGAAAGTATGGGTATGTGTTTCTTGACTTTCTCCAATCTGATTTCATGTTTCTGTGTTACGGAAATTACAATGAAATGAAGGTCATTACACTAAGAGGTTGATCTGAATAGGCATCCCATTCCAAGGTGTATATCATTGTCCACAGCTATAAAAAGACATTCCAATACCTGCACAGTGACCTAGGAGCTTTTCTCTGAGGACTCTTTGGAGAGAGATTTAAGGAAGAGACTAAGAACAGCTGTTTTTTCCAGTATTAGGATATAGTCCTCGAGATGAACTGTCAACTAGAGAAATCCTAGCTCAATTTGCCTTTTAGATCTGAAAACATAACTTCAGTTATTAGCACTATTAAATATAATTTAACCTCATTGACATTTAAAAACAGAATGAATTTAATATTCACTAAGTATAAACTTTTTGTTGTAATATAACACTCTAAGCAATATGATAAAAGATACCAACCATCCTCCTCACATTCCCTGATAGTTATTTATGGTCAGATGCTGGAAGAATAACGTAGACTTACCTTTTCCCTAAATACTGCTTCGTCCCATGTCTGAAGGCGTAAAATAGAGTCATTCATCATTTTTTCTTTGTACATGTTTATTTGTTCTTTTTCAATTACACCAGCATTACTAGTCAGAAGGAAGCACTTGCTACCTCTTGCTCTTCCTCTGCCTATTAGAAAATAAATATTTTAGTTGGTGTTTTTGACTTAAAGCTCTGATATAATCTGCAAATAGGTAAACAAATAGAGGTACTCCTAAAATTCAACTTTGGTTCACTGAATCCCACTTCCCAGGAAAGTTGAGCTGTTAAAGAGTGAACTCATGAGGCAGGATTGCTTGAACCCAGGAGTTTGAAGCTGCAGTGAGCTAGGATTACACCACTGCACTCTAGCCTGGGTGACAGAGCAAGACCTATCTCAAAAAAAAAAAAAAAAAAAAAAAAAAAGACTCAAATGCAGGTGTGCACCTGCATGTTAAATATGTGGAAAAACTAGGAGCCCACCTTAGGCTGGCTTTCTCAGGGTCTCAACAATGCAGGGTGATTAGACAGCCGTACTGTCAGAAACACTGCTTTAAAGATACCTACATGAACCCCCAGTATGACACTGTGATGGCTCTAAGATGAGCAGTAAACAGGCCCTCCTTCAAGAACCTTCTAGACAATGAGGAAATAAGATCTCTTCATAACCAGCAAAACATAGGTGGAAAATTTTAAGTGCTATTACAAAGACAGATATAAAAGGTTATAGGCTTTATATGTTCAAAAGAGAGATTTTTGCCAGCTGGGAGGATTAGGGTCAGGTGATATGGAGGCAGGGGAAGAGGTAAAATGAAGAGTAGCAGTATCTGAGCAGTTCCGTCAACAAGCAATAAGTGAGGAAGTCAGGTTGGCGGAAGTGGATAATGCACAAAAGGGAAGAATGGGAAATAAAGTTGGAATGAAATAGGTGTTGGATTTTGGAAACTCTTTAGCATCAAGTAAATTGGGGAACCACTGGTGTTTCAATACAAGGAAGTGACACGATCGAGCTGTTTTTCAGGAAAAGTAATATGATAGCTGTACTTATGGAATTTTAAGAAGAAAAGGAAAAAGGAGGAAAGAATAGTTAGGAGACTAGTCAAGTCCAGGTGGGGCAGAACAACTCTGGAGTATCCCTTCTTGAATACAGGGGGCCCTTCAGCCCACCAGCACCACCATGAAAGGTTTACATGTTGACTGGCAAAGCTTCAATCCAAGTTGGAATTATTCTTCCATAAATATATCAGTCAATGCCAGGCAAGTGAGCAGCATCATTGTAAGAATCAAAGTAGAGTTTATGTTAGTGAACAAAACTGTAGCCACCTTAAGGGCCAATGATACCAAAGTGCACTGTGCCATTGGTCACATACTCAACCATGGCTCAGTAAAGAGAAAGGCCAGAATGACACATACACTTATAAATCAGTCAAAACAGAATCCATGTAGGAATGGCCTCAAAGCTTCTCTTACCTCTGGTTTGGATCATTTTGATGACATTGCCCACATACTCATAAAGGATGACAAGATTGCACTGTGCAATGTCAATGCCTTCATCAGCAACTGAGGTGGCAATCAGAATATTGTGATCTCCACTGGCTTTGAATGCATCCAATATACACTTCTGTGCCGGGAGGGTCATTCCTGTGTCAGAGTAAGAGGGCATTATACAACTCACCAAAGAGGGAACTTCCCCCTTGAAAAAACAGCTACTAATTATGGAATGCTTATTATATGCCAAGTACTGTGATAAGTACTTTATATCCATGATCTCACAACACACCTAGGCAGTGGGATCTATTCCTATGCCTGTTTCAGAAAGGACATTTAGGGTGGCATCTAACACTCAGACTCTGCCACAAGACTGAGTTCAAATCCCAGCTCTGGGGGACTTACTAGTTGTATGGCTTTAGCCATATTATCCAAGAAATAGACATTTTTGCAGAAATATCAACACCTAATTGTAACACCTTTACATGTGTGTAAGAATTTATAGCTGACAAAACATTTTCACATCTTCTCACTCACCAGAGCATCATAAAGCCCTATAGGTCAAAGGGTAAGTGCTCTGATTCCCCTTAACAAACGAGGGTCGTGCCAGGCATGGTGGTTCACGCCTATAGTCATAACACTTTAGGAGGCCAAGGCAGGTGAATCACTTGAGCCTAGGAGTTTGAAATCAGCCTGGTTAACACAGGGAGAACCCATCTCTACAAAAAATTTAAGAATTAGCTGGGCATGGTGGCACACACCTGTAGCCCCAGCTACTCAGGAGGCTTAGGTAAGAGAATCACCTGAGCTGGGGAAGTTGAGGCTGCAGTGAGCCATGATGGCACTACTACACTCCAGCCTGGGCAAGAGAATGAGACTCTATCTTAAAAAAAAAAAAGACACAAATGAGGGGCTTGAGGTTCCAGAAGTGAGGTAAACTGACAAGCTAGCTATCAGCAGTGTTGGGCCTTGAACTTCAGTTTAAGACCCTAATAGTGTGCACTGTTGGGGTGTCTGCCTCCCCATACACAAACTAAGAATCATTTTCTGCCACACCCACCCACAATACAGTTGTATTATGTTTCTCTATGAAAGAGGCAATGCTATCTGCTCACCAATCTTGTTTCTTTCTCCTGCTAGGCACACACAGCTGAATTATATTTCGCAATCTAAACTGTCACTAATGGCATGTAGACAGAGGTCATGTGTGTCTCTTCCAAACCAGACCCCTAAAAATTGTCCATGTTCTTGTTATTTCTCATCAATGGACCAGATAAGGTCATAGTGGAGGATTTGGAGACCCCCTGTGATGACAGAGCCATAACAAGGAAGGAGCCTGGGTCCCTACAATAAGTGGAAGAGGATGGAGCAGAGCCCCCACCCCTACCTATCTACACTTGGGAGCATAAGTGAGCAGAGCCCCCACCCCTACCTATCCACATCTGTGAGTGTGAGCTATAACTTTTATTTTGCCCTGCCCCTGAGATCGTGAGGGTTGTCTGTTAGAGCAATTAGATTACACTGATTTATACACAGCCTGTTCCTGGCTGCAGCTACTGGACTGAAATAAGCATTTGAACTATGTTGGGCCAATCCAATTCTTCCCTCTTGGAATCTGAAATTGGGATTGGAGACAGGTAGTAAATCAGGAAGGTGTGGGGCAGTCATGAATGGAGAAGCAGAGACAGCAATCTGTAAAGGGAAAACTGTGAAGCAGATGTGCAGGATTCAGGATTGCAATTGTCCACAAAGCCCGAGTGCACTTCCGAACTGCGGGTTCTATGGTAGACCCAATTATCCCGGTAGCAGCCACACCCCCTTCTACTTAGACTAGCGTAAGTGGGTTTCTGTTAATCGGGGAAAAGAAAGGATCTTGACTAAGACAACCACATACTGCCTTCTAATATCCTGCGATAGTGGAGGCTAAATTTAAATTGTCTGAATACAGTGTGAAGTTTGGATGTGATAATCACCCAGTTTGTGTAATCATGGCGGACACCCAAAATGGTGGCTCAAACAATATGCGCACTTCAAACCGTGTGGATCCTAAAGACATCTACGTTTATCTATTAGTAGAATCACCTGATCTCCACTCACTGCTCACAGGGCGGACCCACCTCAGGCAGGTAGAGCAAGGTAATCCATATTACTTTCCATTACCTAGCTGGCAGTGGACTCAAGAGTTTGTGGAAAAAGATCCCTTGTGGTTTTTGAATTATTTACCATTCAAAGTCATGAAAATTCAAATGCAGGCAGCTTTATTTTCAGAAAGTTGCTTAAAAATCAATCTCTAAACATTATTTTGATTTTACTTTTGAGCTTTCTTTATCCAGAATACTTTTTTTAAAGATACATACTTTCTGTTATTTTTGAATCCATGTATTCTCAGTAAAACCAAAATCAAACAAATGATGAGCATTGTGGACCATTACATAAAAGTTCTGGATGTGAATAGTAACTAACATTTAACATACATTGAGCACTCACCACATGCCAGGCATTGTTCTAAACCAGAAGTGGGCAAACTTTTTCCATAAGGGCTAGATGTATAGTAAATACTTTAGGCTCTGTGGGTCATGCTGTCTCAGCTACCCAACACTGCCATTATAGTTGGAAAGCAGCCACAGACAATACATACATGAATGGTCATGACTGTGTTCCCCCAAAAAGTTATTTTATAGACAATGAAATTTGAATTGCACAAACCTTTCACATGTCATAAAATATTCTTTTGATTTTTTTTCAAACAAAAATCATTCTCAGCTCAAGAGTCATTCATAAGCAGGCAGTGAGCCAGATTTTGCTACTGACATTAACCCTCTCAGCTAGGTACTATTATTATTTTTCCATTTGACAGATGAAGAAAGTAAGTCATGAAGAGGTTAGGTAACCTGCTTCTTCATGAAACAGGAAATTAAGAAATGGAAATGTGGAAATATACAAATTTAGCAAACTGAACTTTTGCTTGTTTACATGCAGCTTTTTGTAAAAAAAGGTGTTCACAATTCTTCTAGCTTAACTGTGCAAGGAAGAGGATCAGACCAGAAACAAATTCAGCTAAAATTGTCTTAATTTACTGGTAAATCAAGTTTAACCCATTCGATAAAAGCTATAGAGTTCACACTGATAAACTGAGTGAAGAAAATACTTCAGTGGTCTCTACCTCAGGGTTAACAGAATTTATAGAAGCTCCAATTGGCTAGGCATGGTGTTTCACACCTGTAATCCCAGCATTTTGGGAGGTCAAGGTGGCAGATTACTTGAGGCCAGGAGTTCAAGACCAGCCTGGCCAACATGGCAAAATCCTGTCCCTACTAAAAATACAAAAATTAGCTGGGCATGGTGGTGTGCACCTGTAATCCCAGCTACTTGGGAGGCTGAGGCATGAGAATCACTTGAAACTGGAAGGTTGCAGTGAGCTGAGTTCGTGCCACTGCACTCTAGCCTGGAAAACAGAGCAAGACTCTGTCTCAAAAATAAAATAAAATAAATAAAAGTTCCAATTTTTTCCTAATATATTTCCAGCCCAAATCTTGAGATATATTTTGCTAAGGCCAAAACAATTTCTTTTCACCATCATCATCTACTAAACAATGAGCATCTCTGGAACAGACATCATACGTGATTAATTTCTTAGTTTATTCATCTATTCAGTCAAACATTTATTCAGCAATTATGGCTTGTCAGATAAAAATAATGATTAAAAGGTCCATTTTTATCCACAAGGAGCTCACATTTTGTAGAAGAAAAATATAAATAAGAAGCTATAATTGAGTATGATGAGCACAGAAAGGATGCTATGCGAATGTGGAAGAAGGAGCTCTCTACCAGTTTTTGGAGGTTGGGGAAGGCTACATGGCAGAAGCACAATGCCTGGCACAGCACAAGTTATAAATAAATGTTGTTGAATGAACGGATGAATAAATGAACAAACCAATAAGAAAATATTTCCTGAGTGTCTACTTGTGGAGGAACAACAAAGTTTGAAAATCAAGGAGGACTCATGTTGGAGTCAGATCGCAGAGAACTTTGAATCCCAACCACAAAAATATGGTGTTAGACTTCATTTGGTGAGCCACTTTTTAAGATCTGAATCTACTTTTCATATTTATGAAGTTTAAAAATGACATGAAGGGAAAGTGCGAGGGTGATAACTAGGGACTGACAGGGTGGGTATGGGAGGGTGCTTATTATAAACAACACTAAATAGGAAGACTTGTCAGTGCCAGTCACTGAGGGGTGGGGGGCACAGCTGTGAGGTGGTCAGGATGAGGGCGGGCCACCTAGGATCCTCCCAGATAATAACACAGGCAGCCTTTTATCCTTTGACCACTCTAGCTGGATTTCAGAATTGTCTGCTTGGACTTTTTAAAATTGTAAAATACATAATATACACAAAAGCTATGCATATCTACTGCTTAAAGAATAACAATAAAACAGAAATAGAACATTTCTATTTCTAGACAATCTTAATCTATTGGTTGAAAATTTGAGCAGGATGATAATGCGTGCAAGCATGACTTAAAAAACAACCCTGGCTTTGTCTGCAGGACATATGAGAGGAGGCAATGTCTACAAGGAAAGAGCCTGGAGTGGTTTTTGGCATTTGAGCATTGTGATGGCTTTTTGATGCATTAACTTGGCTAGGCCAAACAACAGTTCCCAGTAATTCATCTAGGTACTGCTCTGAAGAGATTTTACCGATGGGATTCAAGTCCCTAATCAGTTGACTTTAAGTCAGATCAAAAGAGAGTTCACTCCAGGTGGGCCTGGCCTAATCAGGTGAGCCTTTTAAAAGACGGCTTAGGCCTTCTCCAAAGTCAGAGACTCCAAACAGCTCATGTCTGGGGGGTTCCAGTCTGTTCCTGATAGTCTCTTCCTGACTACCTGCCCTACACGCTTCAGACTTGCTTTGCCAGCCCAATTGTGTAAAATTCCTTGCAAGAAATCTCTGTATATATGCATATGTGGACACATATACAACACACACCTCTCATATATATGTATAATCACCTACTGCTTTTGCTTCTGTGGTTAAACCTTGACTGATAGAAGCATTAAAACAGAACTTGAAATATATATTAAAACAGAATTTGAAATATATATTATATATATACACACACACATATACATACACACACACACATATTCTTAAATGCATAATCCACTAAATCTAATTCACTATATATAAATACCTGTGTTCTGATTTGTTTTGCCACGTCCAGTCAATATGCCAGGTTTTAGAAAACTGAGTTTAGGATTTCCTTCAATCCAATTTTTTAAAGCCTGAAAATGAAAAGCAATTATCAATTGGACACTCCTTATAAATCATTTGTATTAATTCAATATTGAAATACATGCAAAAAGAAAAAAATTTAAAGTTAGTACACGTACAGTTTTCAGACTGACAAACCTGAGAAAAAAAGCATTTTGGAATTGAACTCTATGTAATAATTAACTAAAATGGCATAGATCTCTGTAACCTGATATGGTTTAATCTCTAAGACTTTTTTTTTTTTTTTTTTTGAGATGGAGTCTTGGTCTACCGCCTAGGCTGGAGTGCAGTGGCACGATCTTCGCTCACTGCAACCTCCGCCTCCCAGGTTCAAGCAATTCTTTGCCTCAGCCTCCCGAGTAGCTGGGATTACAGGCATCAGCAACCATGCATGGCTAATTTTTGTATTTTTAGTAGAGACAGGATTTCATCATGTTGGCCAGGCTGGTCTTGAATTCCTGACCTCGTGATCCACCCACCTCATCCTCCCAAAGTGCTGGGATTACAGGCATGAGCCACCGCACCTGGCCATCTCTAAGACATTTTTAAAAGAAAAAACAAAAGTTCAAAAATAGTGGGTATGTAGAATAAGTGAGTTTAGCATGATCACAGGACAGGAGATCAATATACATAATTCAACTGAATTTCTACATACTAGCAACAAACTATTGGAATTTCAAAAGTTTTTAAGTACTGGACACAGTGGCTCACACTTATAATCCCAGCATTTTGGGAGGCCGAGGCAGGAGAGTCACTTGAGCCCAGGAGTTCAAGACCAACCTCGGCAACATGGCAAAAGCCTGTCTCTACTAAAAATACAAAAATTAGCTGGGCATGGTGGCACACACCTGTAGTCTCAGCTACTCAGGAAGCTGAGGCAAGAGAATCGCTTGAACCGGGGAGGCATAGGTTGCAGTGAGCCGAGGTTGTGCCACTGCACTCCGGCCTGGGTGACAGACCGAGACTCCGTCTCAAAATTAAATAAATAAAAATAAAAATTAGCTGGGTGTGGTGGTTTACACCTGCAGTCCCAGCTACTGGGGAGGCTGAGATGGGAGAATCACCTGAGCTAGGGAAGTTGAGGCTGCAGTGAGCTGTGATCACACTAGTGTACTCCAACCTGGGCAATGAGAGTGAGACCCTGTCTCAAAAAAAAAAAAAAAAAAAAAAGGTTTTAAAGTACCATTTATAATAGCATCAAAAAATTAATACCTAGGTATAAGTCTAACAAAATATGTGCAGAATCTGCTGAAAATGACAAAACACTGATAAAAGAAACCAAAGAACATCTGGTTAGTCTACCTCTAAGGTAGCCCTCAATGATCTCCACCTTCTGTATTCAGATCCTCATGTAATCCCCTCCCCTGAGTGTGAAGGGGACTTACTGACTTGCTTCTAATGAATAAAATACAACAGATGCAATGTGGCATCATTTCCAAGATGAAGTTATGACTGTGGCTTCCAAATTAGACACCCTCTATCTCAATCTCTGGGATCACTCTCTCTAGGGGAAGCCATCTGCTGGTCTGTGAGATGGACCTGTGGAGAGGCCCACATGAGTGAACTCAGAGGCTCTTCAGCCAACAGCCATATGAGAGGAGTTTGGAAGTTAACCTTCCCCAGTCAAGCCATGGCCAGCACCTTCACTGCAGCCTCATGAGAGATCTTCAGCCGGAAACACCCAGTTAAATTGTTTCCAGATTCATGGCTCACAGATATTGTAAGATAATAGATGTTTGTTGTTTCCAGACACTCAGTTTTAGGGTAATTGTTCCTCAGCATTATATAACTAATACGGAAGCCATATATAAATAAAGAGATATACTATGGTCATGGATTAGAACACTCAATATTGTCAAGATGTCATTCCTCCCCAATTTTATCTTTATGTATTTTTAAAAATATTTTATTTTTTCAAGACCAAGTCTCACTCCATCACTCGGCTGGAGAGCAGTGGTGCAATCTCAGCTCACCGCAGCCTTCACCTCCCAGGTTCAAGTGATTCTCCTGCCTCAGTCTCCCAAGTATCTGTGATTACAGGTGCAAGCCACCACGCTAGGCTAATTTTTGTATTTTTAGTAGAGACAGGGTTTCACCATGTTGGCCAGGCTGATGTCAAACTCCTGACTTCAAGTGATCCGCCCGCCTCAGCCTCCCAAAGTGCTGGGATTACAGGTGTGAGCCACCATGCCCAGCCTCAGTTTTGTGTTCAGATTCAATAAAATCCCAGCAGATTTTTTCATAGATGTGGACCAGCTGCCTCTAAAATGTATATAGAAAGGCAAAGGAACATAGCTAAAAACAACCTTTAAAAAAAAAATTGGAGGACTCACATCACCCCATGTCAAGACTTACTATCAAGCTACAGTGATCAAGACAGCATGGAATGGGTGAAGAGGTGTATGTATGGATCAATAAACAAAACAGAGAATCCAGAAACAGATCCATGCAAATATAGTCAACTGATGTTTTCAGAAGTTACAAAGGCAATTCAGTGAAGAAAGGATAGTCTTGTCAACATAGAGAACTGGAACAACTGAATGTCCATACACAAAAAGAAAAAAAAAAGAAAGCATCTCAACCAATACCTCACGCCTTATACAAAATTAATTTAAAATTGACTGTAGACCTAAATGTAAAATGTAAAGCTGTAACGCTTCTAGATGATAACATAGTGAAAATCCTTGTGACCTTAGGTAAGCAAAGGATTTTTAGAGATAATACCACCACAGGCAAAAACCCATAAAAGAAAAAACTGATATACTGAACTTTGTCAAAACTTAAAACTTTCCATCTGCAAAAGATACTGTCAAGAGAATAAGCAGACAAGCCACAGACCAGAAGAAAATATCTGCAAATCACATTTCTGACAGAGGACTTTTTTGTCAGACTATAAAAAGAATTCTCAAAAACTCAATCAGATGATATACCAATCTTTTCAAAAGATTGGTTTTCAAAGATCTGAACAGACACCTCACCAAGGCAGTTACAGATCGCTAACAAGCAGAAGAAAGATGTTCAGCCATATTACTCATTAGTGAAATGAAAATTAAAACTCTAATGAGGTATCATTACCTACTCACAAAATGACTAAAATTTAAAAAGTAAAAAAAGGAAGAAATGCTTGCTCTACAAGTATCAATACTTACAATTAGAGTGACTAACATAGTGACAGCATGAAGCCAGGTTCCAAAACTTTGAGAGGGCAAGGTGGGAGGATTATGTGAGGCCAGGAATTCAAGACCAGTCTAGGCAACATAACAAGACCCCACCTCTACAAAAATAAATAAACAAATTAGCTGGGCATGGTGGCAGATGACTGTAGTCCCACGCATGGTGGCAGAGGGTGATGAGGTGGGAGAATCGCTTGAGTTTGAGAGGTTGAGGGTGCAGAGAGCCATGACTGCACCACTGCATTCCAGCCTAGGTGACAGAGTGAGACCCCGTCTCTAAGTGGGGGAAAAAAAAACAACACAGTGAGGCATTAGAGTATTAGTATAAGGATAAACATATAATCAGAACAGAATAGAGAAACTCAGAACAGACTCACACATACACATATATGGTTTCTTGACCGTAGAGAGAAAACGGCTTTTTTTTTTTTTTTAGACACAGGTTCTACCTCTGTTGCTCAGGCTGGAGTGCAGAGTACGCTGTCATGATCACTGCAGCCTCAATCAATCCTCTAGCCTTAGCCTCCCAAGTAACTGGAACTACAGGTGCACAGCACCAGCTAATTTTTCTTTTTTAAGAGATGAGGTCTCACTATGTTGCCCAGGCAGGTCTTGAACTCTTGGCCCCAAGCAATTCTCCTGCCTTGATTTCCCAAACTTCTGGGATTACAGGCGTGAGACACCATACCCAGCCCAATCTTTTCAATGAATAGTGCTGGGTCCATTTGTTATCTACAAGGAGAAAAAAAGCTTACGTCCACAAGTGCTCTGGTTTTCACAAAGAGAATTGTTATTGTCTCTGGGTTTAAGTGGTACTCTTCTTGTAAGATGAAGCAGAGGTCTTCAAGTTTAGGATTCTCATTGCTGGGATCCCTGGAAACACTTTCTAGTTCCTGCAGCTTTTCTGCAAATGGGAAACATTTTATAAATGGCTTATAAATTCTAAAAATTTAGAACACACTGTGACCTTTAGCTATCGTTCAAACAGCTGATCTCTAAATCTTTGACCAGAATTTTATGAGTAGTAAGTACTGTTTTAAATTGGTACAACCTTTTAAGAGGTAATTTGGCAATATATATCAAAACATAATACACACACATCTTTTGATCCAATAATTCTACATCTAAGAATTTGAGACACAGTTATATTTAGAAAATTATGGAAGAGGTCTCCAAGGATTTCACTGTACCACTGTTCAGGGTGTAAAAGAAAAACAGAAAACCTAAGTACCCAACAATAGGGAAACAGTTCAAAAGATCATGGGCTATGCATCTGATGTTAATACAATGTGGCTGTGAAAATTAATAAGGGAGCTATGTACATGATATATATGATACCAAAAATATTTTAAGGTTAAAAAAATCAAGGTAAGGACAGTATGTTCAGTATTATCCCATCTTTAAAAATATAGTCAGGCCGGGTGTGGTGGCTCACACCTGTAATCCCAGCACTTTGGGAGGCTGAGATGGGTGGATCACCTGAGGTCAGGGGTTCAAGACCAGACTGGTCAACATGCTGAAACCCCATCTCTACTTAAAATACAAAAATTAGCCAGGCGTGGTGATGGGCGCCTATAATCCCAGCTCCTCAGGAGGATGAGGCAGGAGAATCACTTGAACCTGGGAAGCAGGGGTTACAGTGAGCCAAGATCTCACCACTGCACTACAGCCTGGGAAAGAGAATGATACTCTGTCTCAAAAAAAAGGAAAAAGAAAAAAAATACATATAGTTATAAAACAGGGGTGTGTTACAGCCAGATCATACCGGACTATGGGACTATGGGAGTCAACTGTTGTGGTTTCTGTTTTATCGGTTTTTGTTTTTGTTTTTTTTCCTGAGATGGAGTCTCCTGGCACTCAGGCTGGAGTGCAGTGGTGCGCTCTTGGCTCACTGCAACCTCTGCTTTCTGAGTTCAAGCGATTCTTCTGCCTCAGCCTCTCAAGTAACTGGGATTACAGGTGCGTGCCACCATATCTGGCTAATATTTTGTATCTTTAGTAGAGATGGGGTTTCACCATGTTGGCCAGGCTGGTCTTGAACTCCTGACCTCAGGTGGCCCACCCATCTCAGCCTCCCAAAGTGCTGGCACTACAGGTGTGAGCCACCATGCCTGGCCAATTGTTAAATTTTATTACTTTTTACAATTATCTACGCTTTTGAGGTTAGTTACACCTATTGTTATCTATATGGTAGAAATACTATAGAATGATGTGCTGCTGCTCATCTCTTTTTAACACTAGTTCAATGACATCATGTTGGTAGCCTGGAATTCACTACAGTGGGAGCAGTTATACCATGGAAATCAAGAAAACACAAAAAATCAGTGCTTTATTGATTGACTGATTGATTGAGATAAGGACTCACTCTACCACCCAAGCTGGGGTCCAGTGGTGCAATCTCGGCTCACTGCAACGTCTGCCTTCCAGGCTCAGGTGATCCTCCCACCTCAGCCTCCCAAGGAGCTGGGACCACAGGAGCATACCACTATGCTCAGCTAATTTTTGTATTTTTTGTAGAGATGGGGTTTCGCCATGCTGCCCAGACTGATCTCCAGCTCCTGAGCTCAAGTAATCCACCCACCTCAGCCTCCCAAAGTGCCATGGTGACAAGTGTGAGCCACCATGCCCGGCTTAATTTATGTTGAGAGTTTAGACTTATGAACATGATCAAAAAATAATAATACAGATTAAATTTAGCTATTACATTGAATAGCACAAAATATTGAGAAACATTCTCCCAGTTTTTGAAAAACTATTATACAGTTCAGCAAAAAATTGCTTGCATCACTGGCAAACGAGTGAAGTTCCAACATACACCTTTGTTGTTTCATCTTTATCTTCTAACATTAATGAAACTATATACCAACAACCATATCAGAAAGAACCACACTTCTTTGTCATTGCAACCCTTGGTTGGCCATGGATACAAAAAATCTGCAAAAACCACCAAAAGCATTCTATGAGAACCAATTGGCTATGTGGAATTTACAATAAAGAATAGTTTATTTTTATTTATAAATTGTGGTTTGTATAACTCCTCTATATCAATAAAATAATAAGCTTATGTACATATATATGCATACATTTTTTCTCTAGTGGGTTGTTAAATATTAACCAGCACAGCACTGGTTACACATATGTACAGTAAATACTTAGGTAGAGGCCAAAAAAACCCCAAAATTATTAGCACTAATTACCTTTGGGAAAGAATTCAAAACAGGGAGAAGGAAAACTTTTTTTTGTTTGTTTAATATCTATTTTTTAATCATATGCAGGCAGTGAGATTATGTGCCATTTTGGTTTCCTCTTTATGTAAAAATATATATAGGCCAGGCACAGTGGCTCATGCCTGTAATTCCAGCATTTTGGGAGGCAGAGACGGGTGGATCACTTGAGGTCAGGAGTTTGAGACCAATCTGGCCAACATGGCAAAACTCCATCTCTACTAAAAATACAAAAATTAGCCGGGTGTGGTGGCGCACACCTGCAGTCCTGGCTACTCGGGAGGCTGAGACATGAGAATTGCCTGAATCCGGGAGGCAGAGGTTGCAGTGAGCCATGATTGAGCCACTGCACTTGACCCTGGGCGACAAAGCAAGACTCCATCTCAAAAAAAAAAAAAAAGTATACATAAATTATGGTTTTTTTAATATCGTTAAAACACTTTTTCATATTTTTAAAGCTTTATAAAATTACTAAAAAAGAACGTTAAACAAAAAGAATGCTACTGTCTGTGAACCATATGGGAAACACCCTTTGCAAATCTTGTTTTTCCTTCTTCTAAATAGGGAATGGTATAAGCAACAGACTCTTCCCATAGGTACTAGATTTCATTGAAGCTAAATAGTCCTACCATCTCCATCTTCCTACATCCAGGACAACTCCCTAAGCATCCCCAAGTTTATATATATTAAATGCAATACATGTTTGTTTTGCCATTCCAGTCACCAAGAATGCTACTGTGGCTTCCTCCTCTGAAAACACCACTCACCTTCAAATCTCTGAGTAAGATCTTGCTCAATCTCATCGAATCCTGCTGCTCGGACATTGCTGAAGAAGTCTTTCAAGTAATCCAGAGCATCTTTCATTCGTGCATGCTCACTGATAATGAGGGCATCATTATATTTCTGTTGAAAGTAAAAACTGTCTCAATATGCTTCCAATGTCTAACACATTCACTGTATTTAAGTTCAATTCGTTGTATTTAACGAATTGTTTTAAGAAAACTTTTCTTTTCAAATCTATTCCAACTTAGCTTTTTAAAGATGAATGGCCTCTAACAGTTATGTAACAAAATCTTTGAACCAAATACTGTTAAAAGAAAACTCAATTAGCTAGTAACATTAATTATCATCACTTTGGATTATTGAATTTTACCTTAGAAAAGAAAAACTGCACGAAAAACACATATCAAAATTTAAAAATAAGGAAAGTAAATCAACTTCCACATCAACCTGCCTCATAATTCCAACATTTCACTTGATTTCTATATACATCTGAAGCCATCACTAAATTGTCAGTGTACCTTCCAAAATGATGGCCCTGACCACATCCATCAAATGTACAACTAAGCTAACTAAAATTCTACAAATGCATGCTAATTGAATGCATTTTAATATATTTTCAATGGCTGGATAAGCAGAGGTGATAGCTGTCACTATAGTTCCTTAACTTCTTGGTGAGCCAGAGAACCTGGATTTCTGAGCATGGGGCGTCACCAAAGGTGAAGAAATGTGTGCTTCAGGACATAGCAACAGAACTTTCCACTTGCTGAGCTTTCAAGATGCTGTCACTGGACTGGTCTTGTATCTGGAATAATGTTCTCTCACAATCACCCAATTTTTTCCAACCATGTCAGTTAATGCTAGAGGCATGGCATAGAATCTGAGCCTTTATTTCAGTCCTGTTGCCTGCAGTATGAAATTTCAGAAAGGAAATCGAGATGATGTTGAATGGGACAACTTTTGGAGTTTGCTTCATAAGAACTTTCTGGAAAGGTTCCTAAGTGAGCTCTTGAGGACAGGATGAGAAGTTGATGTTATCTTGGCTTCCACGGTGCCACTCCCAGTAGGTGCTGTGACCAGAATACGACTCTTAAAAAGAGGAACGTACCCGCAAATGTGAAGTGTATAAAAACAGGGCTTTACAAATCCTGCTCTCTTCATCTTTGTCTGGCATCTGGAACACCATGCATGCTTTCTGAACTGTAACAATCCATTGTTCATATTTCTGTGTTCCAAATTCCCTATTTTGAATTTGAGATAAGTTTTCTGTTAAAAAAAAAAAAAAAAGTTTTTCACTGTCTCATATGGTCAGTCATTTAGGGTTATAAACAGGCCTCACCCTCTAATTTTCTTTTTCTTTTTTTTTTTCCTCGAGGCAGAGTCTCGCTCTGATGCCCAGGCTGTAGTACAATGGCACGATCTTGGCTCACCGCAACCTCCACCTCCCGGATTCAAGCGATTCTCCTGCCTCAGCCTGCTAAGTAGCTGAGACTACAGGCGTGTGCCATCACGCCTGGCTAATTTTTGTATTTTTAGTAGAGACAGGGTTTCACCATGTTGTCAAGCTGGTTTCAAACTCCTGACCTCAGGTGATCCGCCTGCCTCGGTCTCCCAAAGTGCTGGGATTACAGGCGTGAGCCACTGCACCTGGCCTAATTTTCTTTCTTACTCTCTGCAAACAGGATATTCCTCCTGAAATAGTCTTAAGTCATCTAGTTAAAACTATTTAACTGGATTCAGACTGGTGAAAAGGTGGAAGCAGGGTACCTGAGGTGGGAGGAGTAAGAAAATAGAAACTCATGTGACTCCATCACCATCTCTCCATCCTTCTGCTCCTTCCCCCATTGAGATAACACCACTGTGCTGCTGGATAATATGACAACCTCCAAACTGTTCTCCCTACCTCTTGCCTTGTTCCCTCCCTTGAGTTTTAAGCAGTGCATCTGTGTGTTTGTTTGTGTGTGTGTGTGTGTGTGTGTGTGTGTTTGATTGTTTCTTGAGTACTGTGTACCAAGAATCAAAGTACCTTACATTCATAATTTCATTTAATTTTCACAACCCATGAGATACATATTACATTTCATATATTGGGAAACTGAAGTTCAGAAAAGCCAAGTAATAAGTAATTTACCCATAGTCACACAGCAAGTACGTGGAGAAAGGGCAGGAATTCAAACCCACATGTGTCAGATGCCCAAGCTCTACTGGCTCTATGAGCTGACAACCAAAGCAGCCCAGAAATAAAACAGTAGACATGAAAAACCCAACTTTGCCTTTAAAAATGAAGAAGTAAAAATAACAGGTCTCAAGAGCTTCATCAGAGGAGGATATATAAAAGCAGGAGATTGGCCGGCCGCAGTGGCTCATGCCTGTAATCCCAGCACTTTGGGAGCCCCAGGCGGGTGGATCACGAGGTCAAGAGATTGAGATCACCCTGGCCAACAGGGTGAAACCCCGTTTCTACTAAAAATACAAAAATTAGCTGGGGGTGGTGGCACGCACCTGAAGTCCCAGCTACTTAGGAGACTGAGGCAGGAGAATCGCTTGAACCCAGGAGACGGAGGTTGCAGTGAACCGAGATCACGTCACTGTACTCCAGCCTGGCGACAGAGTGAGACTCTTAAAAAAAAAAAAAATCAAGGAGGAGATTTAGGACTCAGTTCACCCTATGTTCTGCTTTGCTGTGAACTTGGGCCTCCTGTTCTCCAGAGCAGCATTCTCAGGGCCAAGCATAGAATCGGCCCTCAAAAGACACTTATCACACATGCATCTGTCTGTGTGCATCTCCTAGGATAAGCCTCAGTTGCTTGGTTCAAAGCTGGGGCATCTGCTGTGGTCCAGGCTCTGTGTAGGGTGCTGGGGATAAGATGAGGAGACTATGGCTGTGTTCTCAAGCAGCTGAGTCTGTGAGTTACTCTGGTATCAGTTCGCCAGGGCTCCTCATGAAGAGCACAGTACAACAAAAGTCACAAGCAAGAGCTGTATTTCTGGGTTAAATTCTTCCCCTCACTCATTCATTTTCAATAATAGGAACAAAGGAGGCTACCCAAACAAGTAGTATTGACATGCTTCTTTCCAAGTTGCAGCTACAGCGAGGTGGCCAGCAGTAAAGAAGATGAGCCAACAGGTACTGATTGAACCTGGGTAGGTGTAAAAATAGCCTAAGCAGTTTAGAGATGAGCAGCTAACTGGATTCGGACTGGCAAAAAGGTGGAGGCAGGGTACGGGAGGTGGGAGGAGTAAGAAAATAGAAACTCACGTGACTCCATCACCGTCTCTCCATCCTTCTGCTACTTCCCCAATTCAAACCACATCAGTGTGCTGCTGGATAATATGACAATCTCCAAACTGGTCTCCCTTCCTCTTGCCTTGTTCCCTCTAACCCATACTCTACCCAGTGGTTAGAGGGAGTTTGCAAAATTGCAGATGAGAAATCATCCCACCCCACTGCTTAAAAGCCTTTAGTGGTCCTGCAGCCAAAATCCTGCCCCAGCTCACACACTCCTCCCCATGCTCTGGCCTCTGCTTGCTTTTGCTTCTCATTTCTGGCCACTCTCCTTTCAGCATTCTACAGGACTAATGGAAGTCCCTATACTCTTTCTAGTCTCCTGGCCTTTGCATATGCTATTCCCTGTGCCTGAAACACACCTTATCACCCCCACCACACCAGCTGCTTTAGTATTAGTATTACTTCTCTAATTTTGGTCTTACCATCAGACTAGAAATGCCCTGAGGCCAGGGGCTGTATCTTAGGGTTCATGCTGTATTCCCATCACCTAGCCCATTCCTTAGCACTAAATGAATGAACATATGCATGAACACATTCGGGAAACTGCTAAATCAAAAGGATTCAGGTAGGGAAGTAGTAGAATATAACATTGGAAAGATAAGTAGAACCTGGGTGTTCAGGCAGGGCTCAGACTGCAGGTTAGAGGCGTGAAGATTATCCTGTAGGCAAAGGGTTTTTAAGCAGGACAGGGACATGATAAAATGTATTCATGAAGACTAACTAGTTCATGAGAGGTTGAATGGAAGAGAGAGCAGAGGTAGGCAAAATCAGCTAGAAGGCTGTTAGAACAATTATAATAGAAATTAAACTGTGAAAGAAAAGGGGAGAGAAAAGCAAAATAAGTGTGAGAGGAGACACTCCATGAGGTGTCTTACAGACGTCACATTTAACATCCCTAAAACTCAAAACTCAAAACCTTGTACCTGCCAAGGCTGCTTCTAGTCCTGGTACCAGGACCACCCACTGGCATTCATAGAGGTGCCTAAGCCAGATGCCTGGGGGGAAATCAGCCCCTCCTGCCCCTTTCTCATCCCCACCCAAATCCGTTTAGCCATTCAATCATAACACTCACAGTTGGAAGCATCTCACATGTGTCTCCTTCCTTCTCCAATCCATCTCTACTGCCTCTCTTTGGTCCTTCTCATTCACTGGTATCTTTATTACGTCACTAATCAGTTTTAATCTTCACTTTTTTCCCCATTGTTTTTAGGATAAAATTCAAATCCAGGCCCTTCACTGTCTTCCCCTGGCCCATCTCTAGTCGCACTCCTTTAATGCTGGGAAATGTGCTGGGTGATTGTCCCTAGATATAAATCTGAGCCAGTAGAGGAATGGTGGTTTCATTCAGGTGAACAGGAAAGTCAGGAGGGAAAGCTGATTTAGAAGGTAGAGAAAGCAATGAACTGACTTAAGTATGGTTATTTTTCAGGTGCATGTGTCTGGATGAACTTACTTTGGATTTAAAAGGAAAAAAAGGAAGAAAGAAAGAATAGAGGAGGACATATAAGGCTCCTAAATAACCTATAATCAAGGAAGACAACCTCTGGATATGGTCTTGACATTGTCTGAACTAAGGAGAACACAAAAAGACGATAGTGAACAATAAATGGCTATTCCCCAGTAGAGAGAACACAAAATATGAGATTTATCTCACCGAGGTCTTTGCAGATTCTCTTTGCCAGACTCTCTGTGTCCCTCATCAGCTGAGCTATGATGTATTTAAATTTGTCGCTAATCCGTGATTCCACTTTCCTGAAAACTAGAGACGTCAAAAAAAAAAGAAAAAGAAAAAAAGAGTGAGTATATTTTCAGGAAGGACAGATTGTAGTTCAAAGTAGGTATCTCTAAAACCTTTCTCTGCCTTTGATACTTCCTCTGAAAAACCTAAGGTTCCAGGCTAACTGGCAGGTGGTCCAGATGATACAACAAATGCTCAAAATGCAATGGCTCCCTGTTGCTTCTTGTACTGATTCTAACACCTGTCTTTCATGGTGTAGGTCTAACTAGCTTCTTTTTTTTTTTTTTTTTTTTTTTGATTGAGACCAAGTCTCACTGTGTCACCCAGGCTGGAGTACAGTGGCGCGATCTCGGCTCACTGCAACCTCCGTCTCCCAGGTTCAAGTGATTCTTCTGCCTCAGCCTCCCAAGTAGCTGGGACAACAGGCGCACACCACCATGCCCAGCTAATTTTTGTATTTTTAGTAGAGACGGGGCTTCACCATATTGGCCAGGCTGGTCTCGAACTCCTGAGCTGGTGACCCACCCGCCTTGGCCTCCCAAAGTGCTGGGATTACAAGCGTGATCCACCGCACCCGGCCTAACCAGCTTCTTACTGTGGCTGTCCTGTTACCTCCTCTCTGATGAGGCGGGCATCTCTCATGTCTCTGCAAGTGCCACAATCTAACCCTGTCTCTGTGCTTTGATATTCTCCCTCCCCACACAGCTCCCAGCAGTATTCACACTGATCCTACCATTTATCAATATATTATTTCAGCCTAATTATTAATTGCCTGCAATGTGCCATGCTTTGATTATAGACAGTTGAAAGAACACACTTCATGCTCCATACAGGGCTGTGATCTTAAGGGAGAGAAATATACATGGCTAACTAACCGTAGCAGTTCTCTAACAGAAGTACATGTAAAGTGTAGCCGGGTGTGGTGGCTCACACCTGTAATCCTAACACTTTGGGAGGCCGAGGAGGGTGGATCACTTGAGGTCAGGAATTCAAGACCAGCCTGGCCAACATGGTGAAACCCTGTCTGTACTAAAAATACAAAAAATTAGCCAGGCGTGATGGCACACGCTTGTAATTCCAGCTACTCAGGAGACTGAGGCAGGAGAATCACTTGAACCCAGGAGGTGGAGGTTTGCAGTGAGCCGAGATCGCACCACTGCACTCCAGCCTGGGCAACAGCACGAGACTCTGTCTCAAAAAAAAAAAAAAAAAAAAGAAGTAGTACACGCAAAGTGTCACAAAACACAGGGAAAGTAACACCTAATTCTTCCAGGGAAGTCAGAGTTGTAGAATAAATACAGGAAGAAGAAAGAAGAAAGCAAGAGTAGTCATGTATATTCCATCACAACTTGGCAAAGAAAAAGAAAAAAAAAAAAGAGCAGTGATGTACAAAGGAAGCACAGACAAAAGGTGGGAGAGAGAAAGCACACGGCATGATTGAGGAGCCCAGAGGAATGCAACATGGTTGGGTTTATGAATGTTTGGAGGTGATGAAGCTCAGAGGGCAGGAGGAACCGGATTGTAAAGAAATTCATATGTGACACTGAAAAGTTGGGATCAGGTACATCAAAATCCTTACTTACAAGCAGCCTTCAAAAAGGAACTTATCTACACCACTCCCTATTACATGTCTATTTGTTCTACCTCAGAAATACAGTCACATACTACTCAGAGAGCAAGGGTGAAGTCATATATATTTTCTGTATCCCTCTCTTCCTTTCAGGGTTAGTGTAATAATAACATCAATAAACAACTGTTAGTCATATTAAAAAATCATATCTGATCTTTGGAGGAGTGACATCATGAATTCAGATCATTCCATTTCAACTAAAATGATCAAATACATATTCAAACAGTGATGACCACACAGGCACAGAGCATGGGAAAAGGCTGAGTGAGCCCAGCTCTTGGCTATCTGATGCCTAAATTCTCTCATCACCTCTTTTGCATTGCTAGTACATTTATAAGAGGTTTTTGGAAGCAAAGAGGAAGAATGTTTGCTCTCTACAGGCCACTTCTGAGGTTCATCCATTGCTTGGGATGAGAGCTCAGTTAGAGAGGCTAAAAAATGTGACTGTTACTCAAGTTCAAGGTTAAATATTTTCTACTAAACAGAGAGAGGGTCAAAGTTCAGTATTCGTCTAGATGGCTCTGAACTAGAGGTAGTAGAGAGTAACAGAATCTCAAAGGCTTGTTATTGGATCCAACTTACACTTCTGGGGCTTATAAACAACTTGCTCCAGTTCCTCCAGATTGTGTTTGACTGTTGCTATCACTGACGCATCAAGAGAAGCACACAGCTTGCAGATATAATCCAAGGCTTCATCTGTGTTTTTGGCATCCCCAACACCAACCGAGGCAGTCAGCCCAATGACCTGTAAGGAGCATTCAAAATCATTAGATGTCTGAGAAATGGTACAATGTTTCCACAACCCCTCATATAACTCTTTCCTGCTGGGGTAGGGCGTTTTTTTGTTTTTACTAACACACAGTGTATGGCACATGGAGGCACATAATGCATATTTACTAAGTGAACAAATGAATAAAGGAAACAAAATTCATAATGAGTTGTACAATATGGACTTGGGACCTGAGAAGGACATCTTCAGTGTGGCCATAAGAGTAAGAAAATAGGAGTTAGGAAGATTATAGCTCTTCTGAAGCATTCGTCTGACTTTGGAGATACCTGGGGCAGTGGGCCTGAAGATCCTCCAAGTTTCTGATCTAGATAATTAAACATGATCATATTGTACGGGTGTTGTTTACTAGTGTTGTGGCATTCATCAAATATCATCAAAGTAAAGATGGATAGTGATGGAATCGTTCCCTTTTTAAGGTTGTTCACAAGAATCTGTGGAGTTAAAATGATGATGTCATTGTTCTCAACAATCTGTTCCACTGGGACATTCTCAGCTGTTGCTCCAGAAATGCCTGTAACTCTATACCTGGGAAATGACAGAAATTCCATATTACTAACCACGATGTGGATAAGGAACCACAAAGATGAAATGCTAGATCAGAACATCAACTGATTAAATTCTCCCTGAGTCCAAAAGAAGAATAGCTGTAGGCAAGTCCTTAGCACAGAGCCTGACACATAGTAAGAGATCAATAAATCCAAGCTAGTTGTAATTTATAGTACTATATATTATTTTAAGTCACTAAGAGAGAAAAGAGTACGTAAAAGAATAATATCAAATAAATTATAAAATCACTAAAGAAGTTAAATGTGCCACGTAAACATCAAATTTATTCCTGAAGTCATTTACTCCCCATAGAAGGGCAAACCAGGGGAGTTTAAGTTTTCTGGTACATCTAACAAAAAAGACTTGAATCCATGAAGGGATAACATCTGGATTATAAAAAAGCTGAATCTAATATAAATTTTTTTAAATCATTTGTCAAAAACAAAACAGAAAACACATCAATTACATGAAGCTGGAGAAAAAGAAGTTGAAGCAACTATTATACCTACCCATGTCTTTCAAAGTATTTTGAGAATACAGATTTCTGCTGTTCATACACTGGGATCTGATTCGCAAAAAAGACAACTTTCCCCTTTTGTCCTTGTGGGAATTTTTTAAGATGATGTTCACATATAAGCAGTGAAACAAAGGTTTTTCCACAACCTTTTAACATGTAAGGAAAAAAGAAAACATGTAACTCATATATTAGATATTTCTCTGGAAAGGTGTTTATTTTTGGCTCTTCTAATACCACTGAGCTGACTAATTAATTGATAATTTAAATATGTTAATGATTACAGAATTTACACTATGACTAAAAAATATCAAGCTGCTCCCTAAGTAGCATGCCAACAGCCAGGACCCAAAAGCAAGCTAAAAGAGGACACTTTTCTTTACCTTCTCATGAAAGGTAAAGAAAATACATTAAATACATTAATGTACATAATTAATTAATTACATAATCCCATAAAAAACATTAGGATTATATTAGGACAGTTTTCTCAAAAGACACATGGAACAAGGAAAAAACTGAAACTTGCCCATTCTGTCCCAGTATTCAACAAAAGAAAAAAAAGGAAGCAAACAGAAAAACTATGTAAGTAATGGCAATAGGCTTACCTGTAGGAGCACATATTATTGTGTTTTTTCCTTTCATAGCAGGCAAAGCAAGCTCTAATTGGTAATTTCTTGGTTTAAATGGGCTGTACAAGTTTGTATCAGACACTTCTGGAATACAAAAGGAGCAAAATTACCAAACAGTTCCTGCTCTGAGGAATCACGGCAATAGCTACAGTCTAATGTCCACAAATTCTGACTCCAGCAAGAAGATCCTCATTGGAGAAAGTTTAGAATCCTTTCTCTTGGTAACCATTCTAGCTTTTCCACTAATTTGAAGTACAGAATTCTCTCAGTGACAAAGTATTGATGGCAAGAAAGAAAAAAAAAAAAACATGAATTATTTTTTATACAATCATGGAAGGCTAACAGAAACCAAAGAAAGAATGGCCCCATTCAGGGTAAGACAAGCTGTCTACTAAAGGCAATGCTGTATGTGAAAAAAGCAACAAATCCTCCCACGATCTTTGAAGAAAACCAAACTGTTAACATTGGATTCTCAAAGCAATTTCTTATTAAGGAGCAATAATGCTTTGTCGTTCTTCAAGTTCTCAAATGATATTTTCTCTCAACATAACCAGAAGTTTTAAAAAATAATCAAAGGCTTTATCTCAATAACAGGTAGGCATATAAATCATTAAGAGCTAGCAAAGACTTTGGAAATTATCTACTGAGTCTAACCTACCCATTTTAGAGAAAGGGAGAATTTCTAAAAGGTTAAGTGAATTAAACTCACACGAAAGACATGTAAAGGCCAGGTGCAGTGGCTCATGCCTGTAATCCCAGCACTTGGGAGGCTGAGGTGGATGGATCACTTGAGGTCAGGAGTTCAAGAACAGCCTGGCCGACATGCTGAAATCCCCACCTCTCCAAAAAAAATACAAAAATTAACCAGATGTGGTGGCACATGCCTGTGGTCCCAGCTACTTGGGAGACTGAGGCAGGAGAATCACTTGAACCCAAGGTTGCAGTGAGCTGAGATTGTGCCACTGCACGCCAGCCTGAGCAACAGAGCGAGAGACTCAGTCTCAAAAAACAATAACAACAACAACAACAAAAGGCATGCAAGAATCTTCACGTGTCAGAAAATTTAAAGCAACTCATATTCATGTATCTGTTTTTTTTTTCCAAGGGGTAACAGATTTTATTCTGAAATGACCAAAAAAACAAAACAAAACAAAAAAACTTGTAACATTCAGTTGCAGACGTAATCTGCACATTTTCTCTTTATGATGTTATTCTAATATCATTTTTCTTCTACCACCACTATTAATCCCAATTTCCTTCCTGATACTCTTTTATACATAACTTTTTATTATGGCATATTATGCAACTTGCCGGTCTCATAAAACCATCAAGAAAATATGCTTTGAGAAGCATAAGGGGGCCTCACAGGGCCACAGCTAACTTATACAGTGCCTTTGTGTAAATGACAAAAGGGAGCTCCTCTTGGAGGACACAGCCCCTCAGTGCACTGTGTTGCAAACGACACAGGCTGGATCTCAGCCCCTACTCAACCTCTCAGCCAGGCGCATTTGGGTAGCACACTAACTTCATCAACTTGCAGGGCAGCCCAGGGATCCTAAAAGGAAATTGAGCAAGTGACTCAGAAATAGAAGTAGTATTTATTTAGAAAGCAAGGTTGATTTGGGAATTCATAGACATTGGGTTTTGGTGAAGACTCTATTTGCATTTCCAATATAGACACGCCCATACTTTCTTAGTGGTAGAAGAAGAAAAAAAAGATAGTAAAAGAAGAAAAAAAGATAGTGGAAGAACTAGGAGAGAATGGCATTCTAAATATAGAAAAAGTATCTATTGTAACATAAATTCTCTTTACTTTCTTAATTTTCCTTACAAAACTTTTCACAAGGCTGTGACTTTGGGTACTGCAAAACAAGCCCCCACACCAAATACCAGAAGAGCACCATTATGGAAAAGGACAAACAATACCAGGTACCTGAAGGTGGACATGAATTCTCACTAAGATTCTGGCATTCTGGATCTTCTTGGTAGAAAATCTGTATGTCAGAAGTTTCCATCTTATCCTCAAGATCTTCTGTTTCAACATCTTTTATACCTTTTTAAGACCAAAAAAGTCTTAGAATCTTCACATAATCTGATTATAGTTTTGATGGTGAAAGCTCCACAAAATGGTCATAACACTAAGATTTTTAACTTCTATTAAAATTTCTCACAACCACTCCCCTTCACCTTTTAAAACAGTTGAAAGAATCATTTTGAGTTTAAAATCTCAATTTGGCGTTGACCTCCAATGTAATTTAGAGCTATATTACTCAAAGTGTGGAACGTATTGCCCTACTGAATCAGAATCCACATTTTAACAAGACCTCGGAGGGATTCGTATGCACCAAAAAAAAAAAAAAAAAAAAAGAGCATGATTTAGCAGACATTCATGTCTTCCTTTTCTGACTGACTCTTGACCCATTAAATCAGATGTGTATTTATACAGTTTCTGAAACAACTTATGATCTAAAGAAGCCTAGGAAAGCTAAGACCAGATATTCAGATGTTTACCAAACTCAGCCTTTGAAACAATGCTGAGTGTCAGCTTCAAGAAACCAAATGATAGTTCAGACACTTAATGACAACCAATTCTTTCACCCGTCGGATTCAGTTCCAGATGGCTTCCAGTAAGAGAACCAGGCAATGTCTGTCAAGAAATCAACTCTGAAAAGGGGGTAAGTCCTGGAGTTTGAACCTTTAACTCTAGAATTCTCAAGCTATTTCTCTGATAATCTAAACTTAGACTGAGAGTTCGGATTTTGCCTTCCTCAAATCCTTTGGGCCAGATGGGCTAATTCTGGATGAGAGTGGTTTTCCCCAGTCCATTTTTAGGGGTTATATGCAACCAAACTAATTTTGTAGGCAAGTAACTGCCTCCCTCCCAGAATCCAGCTTCCTGCTGGTCTCGCGTTAGAGATGTAGCTCTGGCTATCTGAGGGGAAAAACGCCTCTGATGGGATGTAAAAGACCGGTTGGAATGAGCGAGTCCTAAGTAGAGCTGTGAGGAGGGTACAGTGTCTTACCTTTCTCTACAATCCACAGTTCACTGAACTTGTTCCTTTCTTTCTCCAAAGCAAGTTTCAAAGTTTTGGGCCAGTTTTCCTTGTCTGATCTGAGAAGGCATTCCACCAATTTCTCTGCACCTGCCATCATCCCCTTAGTAGAGCAAATCTAAGCAAGGTAACTGTAGTTTATTGATCAATTATCTCAAAAGTTTTCCCTTTATCAATTTTTACTGAAGAAATGTCAGTCATGTACTATCTGATTTAAAGCCATTGTACATTACAGCTCAGTGGGTCATATCCATGACAATTTTTGCCCCATCCAACACAGTCTTTTAAGATACTTTTTCCTTCATCTTTGTCCTTTACACATGATGTCACTATGTCAAGCCAAGCCTTCTCATCACCTCTAAGTTCTTATACCTATCCTCATCAGCAATATTAAGAAAATAATCATTTGACAACCATTCCCAATATGGGTATATTGGCATATAGCAATATTTGGAAACAGATAACAAAATATTAACAAATTTTTCTTCAGGGTTGAGGAATTTGTATGACTTTTACTAACCATAATAACTAAAGTTTATTGTACACATACTCTGTGCAAGACATACATGAGTACTTTACATATATTATCTCATTACCCTTATGAAAATACCATATTATAAGGTAACATTATTATTTCCATTTTACACACAAGGAAACAGATAGATATTCAGAGAAACTAAGTAACTTGCCCAAGATCATACCGCTAGTGGTTGAGCTATGATTCTAACAAAATTCATCTGTGTCCAGAGTCTAAACACTTAACTGCTAGAGTCTGTAGCCCTTTCTCATTTGCTCAACTGTTCAATTTAAATTTGCATAAAATACTATTCACAGACTGTGGTGATTTTAACTGAAAATAGGGCAAACTTCAAAAAAACTTTGTGACATAAAAATTACTCAGTTCACATTAAAAGTACTATTCTGGCTGAGCACGGTGGCTCACGCCTGTAATCCCAGCACTTTGAGAGGCCAAGGCGGGTGGATCACGAGGTCAGGAGTTCGAGACCAGCCTGACCAACATGGTGAAACCCCATCTCTACTAAAAATACAAAAATTAGCTGGGCATGGTAGCACGCACCTGTAATCCCAGCTACTCGAGAGGCGAGGCAGGAGAATTGGTTGAACTCAGGAGGCGGAGGTTGCAATGAGCCGAGATCACACCATTGCACTCCAGCCTGGGCGACAGAGCGAGACTCCGTCTCAAAAAAAAAAAAGTACTATTCTATGAGTACTTTTGTGGGTTTCAATGATCTTTCTCAGGTCTAAAACAGTATAGAAAACAGAAGACCTTCCCATGTTATAATTATTTCCCCCAATTTTAGTATTTTATATTAACTTACCTGTAGAATTTCTTCACATTCCTGATTAATTAAACATTCAGACAGATCAGAAATGATATCGGTTGGGATAATTCTGGTTTTAAATTCTGGTTGTAAACGTTTTAAAAGTAATCTATACTCCTCCAACTTTTCAATTTTTTTGAAATCCCAACTTTCAATGGCTTCATAAAGTCCAGAATAACCTGAAAAAAAAGAAAAAAAATGTGGACTTTTATGAAACCAACTGAAAAATACTTTGAGATTAGTATCATAGAAATCATGTTTGAATGTATGGTGGTAGAATTCAAAAAATATCTGTAAATTACCCCCAATTGTCATTGATTTTTCAAAAAGAAAACAGTATTCATTTTAGTCAGCCAACACTTTAGGTCTTCTAGCAATATTTATTATCTATTGGGAAAAAGTACTAAGGAAAACTTTGAAGTCTTACATTTTGATCTTAGTATAAAATCTTTCTTCCAAAGTGACTCATAGACTTCACCTACAATCCCTGATTTGTCTTTAAAAAGTCAGAGTCAACAGGTTTATTAAGTATCTTCTCAGTGGAAAGCAGTAAAGAAGGCAAAAAGAAATATAAACCTTAATTCCTGCCCACAAGGAACTTTCCTTCTAATTTTTCTAAGATAATATTAAGTAAATGGGAAATTTACTTAATATTATTCTACATGCCTTTAAAAGATATTTATTTAAAAATCATATTTAGAAAGTTCAGAGAAAAATACTAATGGCCAAGAAACATACATAAGATGTTCAACCTCATTCTTTTTTAAAATTGTAGTAAAAAACAGATAAAACATTTACCATCTTAACTATTTTTAAATGTACAGTTCAGTCGTGTTAAATTCATTTTGTTATAAAAAAAAAATCCAGACCTTTTTCACCTTGCAAATCTAAAACTCTATGAAACAACTATTCCTTTTTCTCTCCTCACCCCTGCTCCTGGTAACCACCACTCTTTCTGTTTCTATGAATCTGACTACTTTAGATAATCTATATAGGTGGCAAAATACAATATTTGTCTTTTTGTGACTGGCTTATTTCACTCAGCACAGCACCCTCAATGTATGTCCATTTTGCAGGATGTGCCAGGATTTCCTTTTTTTTTTAAGGCTGAATAATATTCCATTGTATGTGTATATCACATTTTGTTGATCCATTCATCACTGATGGACATTTGAGTTGCTTCTACCTTGTAAGCTATCACGAATAATGCTACTATCAACATGGATGTGCAAATATCTCATCAATACCTTGCTTTCAATTCTTTTGGAAATACACCAGAAGCAGAATTGCTGGATCATATGGTGATATATATTTTCAATTTTTTGAGGGACTGCCATACTGTTTTCCATGGCTGTTAACACCATTTTACAATCCTACCAATCAGGCACAGGGTTGCAGTTTCTCCACATCCTCACCTATATGCATTATTTTCTGTTTTTATTTTATTTTATTTTTTGAGGCAGAGTCTTGCTCTGTCACCCAGGCTAGAGTGCAGTGGCACGATCTCGGCTCACTGCAAACTCTGCCTCCCGGGTTCAAGCAATTCTCCTGCCTCAGCCTCCTGAGTAGCTGGGATTACAGGCACCCGCCACCGCACCCAGCTAATTTTTGTATTTTTTAGTAGAGATGGGGTTTCACCATCTTGGCCAGGCTGGTCTTGAACTCCTGACCTCACGATCCACCCGCCTCGGCCTTCCAAAGTGCTGGGATTACAGGCATGAGCCACTGTGCCCAGCTTTGTTTTTGTTTTTATAGAAGCCATTGTAATGGGGGTGAGGTGATATTGCATTATGGCTTTGAATTTCTCTGATGATTACTGATGTTGAATATCTTTCCATATGCTCATTAGCCATTTGTATATCATATTTGGATAAATGTCTATTCAAGTCCTTTGCCTTTTTTTTTTTTTTTTTTGAGATGGAGTCTCGCTCTGTCACCCAGGCTGGAGTGCAGTGGCATGATCTCTGCTCACTGCAACATCCACCTCCTGGGTTCAAGCAATTCTCCTGCCACAGCCTCCCGAGTAGCTGGGACTACAGGCGTGTGACACCACGCCCAGCTATGTGTACTTTTAGTAGAGACAGGGTTTTGCCATGTTGGCCAGGCTGGTCTTGAACTCCTGACCTCAGGTGATCCACCTGCCTCAGCCTCCCAAAGTGCTGGGATTGCCTATTTTTTAATTTGATTTTTTGTCTTTGAGTTGCAGGAGTTCTTGATATAGTCTACATATTAACCCCTTATCAGGTATATGATTTGCAAACATTTTCTCTCATTCCATGGGTTGACTTTTCACCCTATTATGTCCTTTGAGGCACATAAGTTTCATATAGTCCCATTTGTCTATTTTTTCACTTTTGTTGCTTATGCTTCTGATATCATGTCCAAGAAATCACTGCCAATTCCAGTGTCATGAAGTTTTTCCCCTATGCTTTCTTCTAGGAGTTTTAATAGTTTTAGGTCTTATATTTGCTCTTTAATGCATTTTGATTTGATTTTGTATATAGTGTGTGATGGTTAATTTTCTGTGTCAACTTGACTGGGCTTAGGGATGCCCAGATAGCTGGTAAAACATTACTTTTGGGTGTGTCTGTAAGGGTGTTTTCAGAACAGATTATCATTTGAATCAGACTGAATAAAGAAATTCACCCTCACTGATGTGTGCAGACATCATCCAATCCATTAAAGACCAAAACAGAACAAAAAGGGAGAAGAAGGGCAAATTCTCTTTTCTTGAGCTCATCATTTCTTTTGCCCTTGGACATCAGAGGTCCTGGTTCTCAGGCCTTCAGACTCTGAATTACACCAACTGCTCTTCTGATTCTCCAGATTGTGGACAGCAGATCATGGGACATCTCAGCCTCCACAATCATGTGAGCCAATTCCAAAAATATATATACACATACATGTAAGTAACAATGTGTATACATATCCCATCATATGTACACACACATAAATATATCCTATTGCTTTTGTTTCTCTGGAGAACTCTAATACATGGTATAAGTGTCAAAATTCATTCTTTTGCATATGGATATCCAGTTTTCCCAACAACATTTGCTGAAGAGACTGTCCTTTCCCCATTGAGTGGTCTTGGTATCTTTGAGCATATACTTGAGAATTTATTTCTGGGTGCTCTTTTGGCCTATTTGTCTGTCTTTATGGCAGTGCCACATCATTTTGATTGCTACAGATGTGTAATGTGTTTTGAAATTAGGAGAGGTGAGGCCTCCTGGTTTATTCTTCATTATCAAAATTTTACCTATTCAAGATGCCTTGAGATTCTCTATAAATTTTGGATAATTTTTTCTATTTCTACAAAAAAAATGCCATTGCGATTTTGATAGGGATTGCATTGAATCTGCAGTTCGCTTTTGGTAGTATAGGCAACTTAAGTCTTTAATTCATGAATGGGGATGTCTTTCCATTTATTTGTGTTATCTTTCATTCTTTCAGCAATGTTTTGTTGTTTCCAGGGTATGAGTCTTTTATCTCCTTGGTTAGGTTTCTTCCTAAGTATTTTAATCTTTTTAATGCTATTATAAATGGAATTGTTACCTTAATTTCTTTTTTGGATTATTTGTTAATATATAGACATGCGACTAATTTTGAGGTGTTGATTTTGTGTCCTGAAACTTTTCTGAATTAGTTCTAATAGTTTTTTCTAAAATCTTTAGGGTTTTCTACATATAAGATTCTGCCATCGGCTGGGCGCAGTGGCTCACGCCTGTAATCCAAGCACTTTGGGAGGCCGAGGCAGGCGGATCACAAGGTCAGGAGATTGAGACCATCCTGGTTAACACGGTGAAACCCCGTCTCTACTAAAAATACAAAAAATTAGCCAGGCATGGCGGCGAGCACCTGTAGTCCCAGCTACTCGGGAGGCTGAGGCAGGAGAATGGCATGAACCCAGGAGGCGGAGCTTGCAGTGAGCCGAGATTGCGCCACTGCACTCCATCCAGCCTGGGCGACAGAGCGAGACTCCGTCTCAAAAAATGAATGAATGAATAAATAAATAAATAAATAATTCTGCCATCTGCAAACAGATTATTTTCCTTCTTCCTTTCCAATTTGGATACCTTGTCTTTCTTTTTCTTGCCTAACTGCTCCAGCTAGGACTTCCAATACTAAACCTTATTCAATTTTTAAAATGAAAATTAAAAGTACTGTTTTTACCTGACAGGTTGGTAAGGATTAAAATAACTTATAATATCCAGATTAATCATATCCCCAAAGTGGAGAAACAGTGCTTTCTCTGATGAGAAACAGAAACCAGCCCTTTGGAAAGACTTGCTCCATTGCTGATTTCAACCAACCTCCTGACTGCCCCTCCCTTTAGCAGTTTCAACACACCAACCAACCAGCACTTCTTCCTGATAAGAGACCACCAACCACAGAGTGGGTCTGGCCAGTCTATGAAGGATGTGCAGTGAGAGTTTTCATGTCCTCTGCTTCACCTTCTGACATCAGAGGGCCAAAAACTCCACCCTTGGATCTTGCTAACACTGCCAGTTTTTGAACATGGGTCCCATAGAAAGGCATGAAGCTCACCTGCCCAGGTGCATGCTTCTACTTTCATGACTCCTCCTGTAGCTTACTGAATATTTGGTCACCCTATTCAGCATAAATCTCTGTTTTACTCTCCCCACCCTCCAAGTGCCTGTTTCCTGCTTCTGGCCCGAGGCTACACTTCCCAGCCTGTCAAAATGGCCACCATGCAGACTGCAACCCTTTATGAAAAATAAAGCTCTCCTTTCCAAATTTATGAACTTCATGATTCTTCTGTTGATAGAAAACACCATAGCTCTGAAAACAGAAATGTAAAAATTATGTAATATTTGATGCATGTACCAGAATATTTGCAACATATATAATAAAGAGTATAACAAGAAAAGGAACATATGTGAACCTACTATCCAACTTAAGAACCACCATATTCCAGCTGGGTGCAGTGGCTCATGCCTGTAATCTCAACACTTTGGGAGGCTGAGGCAGGTGGATCACCTGAGGTCAGGAGTTGGAGGCCAACCTGACCAATGTGGCAAAACCCCATCTCTACTAAAAATACAATAATTAGCCAGATGTGGTGGTGGCCACCTGTAATCCCAGCTACTCAGGAGGCTGAGACATGAAAATAGCTCGAACCCGGGAGGCGGAGGTTGCAGTGAGCCAAGATCGTGCCATTGCACTCCAGCCTGGGCAACAGAGCGAGACTCTGTCTCAAAAAAAAAAAAAAAAAAAAAAAGATTTCCATTAAATATCTTCTTTAAGCCTTAGCACTGTTGGACTTCAGTTTTGCTATTCAGTAGTTATAAAATGTTATCTCACTGTGTTCCTAATTTACAATTCCCAAATTCCTAATTGGGCTGAGAATCTTTTACATTTATTCACTTTTCATTCTTCGTATTCATTGAAATGTTTGTCCAAATTTTTTGCTCTATGTATGTTTTCTTTCTTTTTCCAGTTGATTTTAAGACTTTTTTTAATATATTCTAGATTCTAATCCTTTGGTGATTATACATTTTGAAAATATCTTCTCCCAGAGTTTGTGATTTGTTTTTTTTTTTTTTTTTTTTTGCTTTCTTTATAGTGTTTTTGATAAACATGATGTAAGGAATACAAATGTATTTATTTATTCGTACCCACATGGGCATAAAAGTTAGCGTTTGTTTTTTAAATACAGGGTTTATTTATTTATTTATTTATTTAAATTTGAGAAGGAGTTTCACTCATTGCCCAAGCTGGAGTGCAATGGCGCAATCTCAGCTCACTGCAACCTCTGCCTCCTGGGTTCAAGCAATTCTCCTTCCTCAGCCTCCCGGGTAGCTGGGATTACAGGTGCCCACCACCACGCCTGGCTAATTTTTGTATTTTTAGTAAAGACAGGGTTTTGCCAAGTTGTCCAGGCTGTTCTCAAACTCCTGACGTCAGGTAATCTGCCTGCCTCATCCTCCCAAAGTGCTGGGATTACAGGTGTGAGCCACCACACCCGGCCCAGGGTTTGTTTTTTAAATACAGGGGTCTCCCTATGTTGCCCAGGCTGGAGTGCAGCAGCGCCATCATAGCTCACTGCAGCCTCAAACTCCTGGACTCTAGCAGTCCTCCTGCCTCAGCCTCCTGAGAGGCTGGGACTACAGGCACACGCCACCATGTCCAGCTTGAGTTTGTTCGGCTTTTAATATTATTCTGTTTATAAATGCTATTTTTTGAATAGCTCCTCCTTTCCCAGTAATCCTCTTTTCTCAGTGATGTCTAATATATCAGGTTTCCATAAAGATATGGTCCTAATTAGAGGGTCTCTATTCTGTTTCAATGGTCAGTTTGTCAATGCCAAAACCAACATTTCACTGTCTCAATGCCTGTAGCTTTCTAATAAATGCTAACGTGTAGAAAGAAAAGCCCCAATCTACTAAATTTGTCTTCTTTAGGGGTGTCTTGACTATTGTTGGGTCGTAATTCTTCCATATACATTGTAGAATCAACCTGCCACACTCACTGAAAAAGTATGTAGGATTTTTATTAGAATTATATTGAATATACAGATCAATGTAGGGAGAACTGATATTTTTATGATCTCAAGCCTCCTTCTCTATGTGCATGGGTATGTTTTTCCATTTAGGACTTCTTTAATATCTTTTAATAACATTTTATCATTTTCTCCATTCAGACCTTATACATCTTTTGTTAGATTTATTCCTAAATACATTACAATTGTTATTATTAAAAATGATACTTCATTTTGGATTACATTTTTTGTTTGCTTCCATTGGGCAGAAATGCAACTAATTTTTGTATACTGGTCTTATATCCAAATAATCTTGCTAAACTCTTCCATTAGTGACAATAATCTCTCTGCAGATTCTTTTGTTGGATGTTTCAGGTAGACAATTATATCATCTGCCTAAAAACAGTCTTTACATTGTCTCAGACTAAGAGGCATGAACTATAAGTGGATACTTCAAATTTAATAGCTTTTCACTTTTACAGTATTGTCAAGCAGCAAAGTAATATCCTCTGATTTGTGATTAAAAAGAATGAACTAACCTGCATGGTCTAGGGCATCCAAAAAGCCACGGAACCAGCCTTCCTCCTGGAGCTCCAACAGGAACTTGAGAAAAAGTGTGGCAGCCTCCATTGGGCCCTTGTTGTTTTTCTCAGCCTGAATATACTGCACCTCTTCTACAAACAGAAGCAAAAATGACTCATCAAACTGCAGAACTATTAATCATTAGAAGAAAAACCAGAAAAGGATCACCAGACCTTCCCAAATAGGGACAGGAATTGTACCAAGTCACAGCATTGGAAGAATCTTTGGAGAAGCAGCAAAACCTCTGCCCAGGCCGACTGTGCCCATTCTTCACCAAGCCACTCTTCCCATCCTCTCTGGAAACCTACAGTTTGGTGTGGAGGTCTGAGCACACATTCTAGAAAAGGAGTTTCTTGAAGATGTGTAAAAAAATCTCCCTGCAAAAAGGGAGAAGTCATGGTGGCCTCAAACTATCCTCCTCCCTCAGCCTCTCAAAGTACTGGGATTACAGGTGTGAGCCACTGCACCCAGCCTCTACAAAAAAAAAAAAAAAAAAAAATTTTTTTAATTAGTTGGGTGTGGTGGCTCACACCTGTAGTCTCAGCTACTTTGGAGGCTGAGGTGGGAGGATCACTTGAACCAAGGAGTTCAAGGTTCCCGTAAGCTATGGTGGCATCACTGCACTCCAGCCTGGACAACAGAGTGAAAACTTGTCTTGAAATAGGACAAAGAAAGGAGAAGGAAGGAAGTAAGGGATACTTCCATGGTCCTTTTGGGAGAAAATTATCTACCAACCTGCTGGTGGTCATTCTAACTTTGTACACTAATTTCATGCCCAGGGAGTAGTAATAAAAATGCTACCATGGTATGACCTGATACTTGATAATTTTCTGGGTTTTCTTTCCCATTGTTGATGGAATGCAAATTCCAAGGGAGTAAGCAAGTTGTCAGGCTGGTGAACCACTATATTCTCATAGATTAGAAGAAGACCTAGCACGTAATAGACAATAAACAAAGGTATGTTTAATGAATGAAGGAAGAGAAGAAGGAATGCCTTATAATCTTGCTCTACTTAAAAGGATCTCTGCCAAGGTCTCTGTCTTGACAACAATAAAATCAACCCTTTCAAAAAATAAAATTCAATGGTTTTTGGAACTGTGAATCCATGACTACTATTTTAGTACATTTTCATCACTATAAAAAGAAAACCTATATCCATTAGCAGTCATTCCCTACTCTCCCTCTCCTTAGCCCCAGGCAAACACTAATCAAATTGAGTCTCCATGGATTTGCCTATTTTACACATTTCATATTAATGGAATCATACAATACATAGTCTATGTCTGGCCTCTTACTTTGCATAATGTTTTTAAGGTTTAACCATGTTGTAGCACGTTATTATTCATTCCTTTTTATTGCCAAATAATATCCCACTGTATGGATACACCACATTTTGTTTATCCACTCATCAGTGGGCATTTGATTTGTGTCCACATTTTGGTTATTACAAATAGACATGCTATGAACATTCATGAGCAATTTTATGTGACGATGTATATATTCATTTCTCTTGAGTACACACATAGGTGTGAGATTTCTAGTTCTTATGGTAACTCCATTTTTAACATTATAGGGAATTGTCAAACCATTTTCCCAAGGAGCTGCACCATCTTACATTCCCACCAGTAATCTAAGAGGATTCCAATTTCCACACATCCTTGACAGTACTTCTTACCATCGTTTTCATTTTAGCCTTCTGTATTAGTTTCCTGTGGCTGCAATAACGAATTAGGACAAACCAGGTGGTTTAAACAATAGAGGCTTATTCTCTCTGTTCTTGGAGGCCAGAATTGTGAATCATGGTGTTAGCAGAGTCATGCTTCCTCTGAAGGCTCTGGGGAGAATGCATTCCTTGCCCTTCCGGTTTCTGGTAGCTGCTGGCATTCCTTGGCTTGTGACAACACTCCCTCCAACTTTGCCTTCTGTTTCTCTGGCTTGTGGCCACATCACTCCAATCTCTGCCTATGTTTTCACACAGCATTCTCGTTGTCTCTATGTCTTCACATGGCTGTTTTCTTAGAGGGACACCAGTCATATTGAACTAGGGGCCTGCCCTACTCTAGTATGACCTCATCGTAACTAATTACCTCTGTAAAGAAACAGTCTCCCAATAAATCACATTCTGAAGTACTGGGGTTTAGGACTTTAACATATATTTTGGGTAGGGGGACACAATTCAACTCATAACAGCAACCTATCTTGTCACCTATCCCAGCTTCCCTGGACCCACAATCCTACCGTATTCCATTGAGTCAGTTCATTCTGTTCCTAAGCCCATTCCTTACAGCTGTACTTTTGTTCCCAGGCCTCCCTGCTGCTTGAGCTTCCTTTCAACATGCTAACAGCCATTACAGATATTCCACGTGGAGATGCAAATTTATCCCAGCCACAGCTACCGCCTTCCCAGATAAACTGCCTTGCAGTATGCTGGGCAGTTCACATTTACTTTGCATGTGGTCAGGCCCATCCTTCTACTACCTGGCCCCAATATCTGCTGCTACAGAGTAGTGACAATTTCCTCAAAAGCACCAACAATGCAGACAAAACTTCATCTTTGACAGTATTTCCCACTGCCTTTGCTGTCCTGGGGCCCATTGTGATGTCAAACCTCAGCTTCTCAAGGTAGAATTTCTTGATCCCTTCTCTGCTTTCTCAGTCTCCTTACTGACTAAAGCTCTTTATTGACTACTGACTAAAGTACTTACACTGCATAGTATATAGTAAATGTGGGCCTGTCTTCCACCTGAAACTGTGACTTGGAACATTTGTCTTGTGATCATCAGCACAGTACCTGGCTCACGCATGTGTCCAGAAAGTGCTACCAAAGGAATGGATACTCAGAATACTGCCCACCTGGTGCCCCTCCAGAATCATGGTTGGCCTTTGACTCCAAAATACTATAAAAAATCTGCAGCTGGGCACAGTGGCTCACACCTCTAATCCCACCACTTTGGGAGGCCAAGGTGGGTGGATCACTTGAGGTCAGGAGTTCAAGACCAGCCTGGCCAACATGGTGAAACCCCGTCTCTACTAAAAATACACAAATTAGCCAGGCGCGGTGGCTGGTGCCTATAATCCCAGCTACTCGGGAGGCTGAGGCAGGAGAATCACTTGAACCAGGGAGACAGAAGTTGCCATGAGCCGAGATCATGCCACTCCACTCCAGCCTGGGTAATAGAGCAAGACTCCAAACACACACACACACACACACACACACACACCCAGGTCTGCCTTGAAACATCCTGGACAACCTGTGAGTGAGAAAAGTGCTGCAGCTTCCAGGGTACCATGCAAGTTCTCCAGGAGAAACATGGCTTCAGTGCTCCTTTTCCAAGACGTTACTAGCGTCAATAATCACAATATCTGATTGCAGAGAGGGTTAGAGTAAACGAGATGCTGGATGTGGGCACGGGGGGAATGTGGATAAGCTCCCTTTGCTTTCCACGGATGGCAAAAAAATATGAGTCAAAAGTTTTATATCCAGCCATAACACTCATTAGTGTCTCTGGTCCCTGACTGAATCCTCACTGATAAAGTATAGTTGTCACAGCCCGGCACAGTGGCTCACGCCTGTAATCCCAGCACTTTGGGAGGCCAAGGTGGGTGGATCACTTGAGTCCAGGAGTTCGAGACTAGCCTGGCCAACATGGTGAAACCCTGTCTCTACTAAAAATACAAAAATTAGCCGGGCATGGTGGCCAGTGCCTATAATCCCAGCTACTCGGGAGGCTGAGGCAGGAGAATCGCTTGAACCCCAGAGATGGAGGCTGCAGTGAGCTGAGAGCTGAGATCCCACCACTGCACTCCAGCCCAGGCAACAGAGCAAGGCTGTCTCAAAAACATATATATATATATTATACATTTAATATATATAAAATATATAAAATATATTTAATACATAAAATATATAAAATATATTTAATACATAAAATATATAAAATATATTTAATACATAAAATATATAAAATATATTTAATACATAAAATATATAAAATATATTTAATACATAAAATATATAAAATATATTTAATACATAAAATATATAATATATAAAAGTATATATTATATCTATTATATATAGATATAATATATATTTAAACATATATATTATATATTTATTCTATATTATATATCATATATATTTTATATATAATATATATGTTTAAATATATATCTATTATATACAATAGATATATAATATATAATTTTATACATTATATATTTTATATATTAAATATATAATAGATACAATATATATGTCACAATTAAAGTTAACCAATGAATCCAGAGCCTCCAAAGCAGCCTAGAAAAAAATAGGGAATAGAGAAAAACTTTATCAATCTAATAGAAAATAGAAAAAGGAGTTGAACCCAAAAGGTATGTGGACAGAGATGCACATTATAAAGTAAAAAGGCATAAATAAGAAAAATGTAAATCAACTTCATAACAATGGTTGCCTCTGCAGAGGGAATCAAAAGAAGACCTCAAGGGTATCTTTCACATTAAAAATTAAGAAGTTCTTCAGGGTGCTTTTTCTTTTAACTTACTTTCCGGTATTTTTATTGTGATTGTACTCTATAAATTAGCATAGGGAGAATTGACATGTTTACAAACCTATAGTCCCCAGGCACAAACATAGGCTGTCTCTTCCTCACTCAAATCAGAGACAGATTTCTCTTCAGGGACTTCATAGTTTTCTTCATATCATTTCAGCATTTTTTTTGTTAAATGTATGACTATCTTCAATCACACGTAATATCCTCTAGAAACCATCCTTCTACATATCTAATTATGTGTATAAATATATAGTTTTAAATAAGTAAGATTTAACAAATCTGCTCTTTTCCACTCAGTGGATTACAGGTGTTGTTTCCTATTAATAAATATGTACCTACATCAACTTTTAGTGGCTGCATAGTTTTATGTCACATAAATGTAGTATAATTTAATGTATTCCTTTAACACGAAACTAAAATGCGTTTAGTACACACCCATCTATGTCTTTACCTGCTTTACCAACTTTTCCCTGGAATAAGTTCTCAGAAGTATAATTCCTCAGTTTAACAGTATATGCTTTTAAATGTGGAGGCCAGGCGCGGTGGCTCATGCCTGTAATCCCAGCACTTTGGGAGGCCAAGGCAGGCGGATCACTTGAGGTCAGGAGTTCAAGACCATCCTGGCCAACATGGTGAAACCCCCATCTCTTCTAAAAATAGAAAAATTAGCCAGGCGTGGTGGCTTGCACCCGTAATCCCAGCTACTCAGGAGGCTGAGGTAGGAAAATCACTTAAACCTGGGAGGTGGAGATTGCAGTGAGCTGAGATTGCGCCACTGCACTCCAGCATAGGCAACAGAGTGAGACTCTGTCTCAATCAATCAATCAATCAATCCATAAATGAATAAATGAATCAATGAAGGAAGGAATGAATGTTAATACATTTTCCCCAACTACCTTCCAAACTGTACTAACCCTCCATCGATAGTGTATGAATGATATTTCCCTCCATAGCACTGAATTTGCTCAATCTTCATAACCTTTGCAAAACTGAGAGACAAAAACAGACCAAACAAACAAACTTCACTGTTTTTAATGATTTCTTGTGGGATTTCTTCCACCTTTGGCCAGTGTCTTTTGTTTTGGTTATTTCTTAATACATTTCCTGTTCATGTCTCACAGCTAGTTTTGAGAGGTCATTCATATTTTTTTCTAAATTGGATTTGTAAGAATCTTTTATGCATTTAGGGAAATGTTATATAATCTGGTTTGTTTTTCCAGTATATGAAAATACTGTTTTTCCAGTATAATCTCACTTGTTTTCCAGTAGATAAAAATGCGTGGCCTCCGTTTTTATTTTATTTTACGTATCTATTGCAACAAGACTGAATGAACTCTGTTAGTTCCAGTAATTTGGGGGAATTTTGTTTTTGTTCTTTATTTTGGCCAGTTTGCTTTCTTTGGAGTTAACTGGCTGTTCTTTTTGCAATTACTTCAGTCAAATTAATTAATTCATAAGTGTTCATTCTTTTGAAATACCAATAAATCCATTTAGGCTATAAATTCTGATTAAAAGCTTATTACATCTTAAAATATATAATATGTTGGCTGATTGCCGTGCTTACTTTTGAAAGTAGCTATACTTGTTTAGATTTTCTCATTCTGCTAGAAGTTACTCAAAAGGATGCTATTTTGAAATTCTGTGAAAATTTTTTTAAACCTATGATTAATTTCTGGGATATAGAATAATAGCTAACAGTAATTTAATACCATGCAGTTTAATTTCCAAAACACCCAAACATGGTTTTTATTCTGATTTTACAAATGAGGAAACTGAGGCATACGAGAGTTAAGACATTTGCCCAGTATCACAGAGCCTACAAATTTGAAAATAAAACTCATAAAAGTTATGCTTTGGGAATTTATTAAATATTTATCTGTAACTCATATAGGATCACTTTGGCAAAGCTTTTTAAGAATTGGAGGAGAAGGATATATTTGCTATATGATACAAAATGGAAAACATAGACATTAAATCAACCTTATTAAACAGATCATTTATGCTTTTATTATCATTTATCTGACTTAGCAGTACTAATAAAGATATCTTATAATTCCCATATTTCTTGACGTTTTCTAATATTTAATAAACAAAGATTTATGTGTACCAAATCTTCACTGATATCTCAATACCTTTATCATTTTATCTTAATACTTTCCACTAGTGCAATTTAAGTATAATTCTTGCTTTCTTTACGTATGCATTTATTTAATATATATTTGTCCCTTCTTTATCTCTTTTTTATTTATTTATTATTTATGAGACAGGGTCTTGTTCCATTGCCCAAGCAGAAGTACAGTAGCATGATCATAGCTCACCATAGGCTCAATTTTCGGGGCTCAAGCAATCCTCCCACCTCAGGTTCCCAAAGTGCTGGAATTACAGGCATGAGCTGCCAAGTCTGGCCCCCATTTTTATTTTTTATGTTATTAGACTTTACATGGGTCTCTGGCAGATGACCAAAACCTGGATTCTGCTTTCTGACTCATTCACACCTATTTAAAAGATGTTTGACCTAATTACATGGCCATAGCTGATATAACTAGTTTTCCTTGTGTTATCTTGTTTATATTTCCCTTTCCTATATTTTCTGGTTAGCTTAAATTACTAGTTTCTTTTCTCCTCTCAAGAACAACAAAACATATAAAACCTCATTTAAATGGTATCATTATCTGTAACCATTCATATAGCTTTTTAAAACTACAGAAGCAAGTGGAAAATGGTAATATTTTAAGTCTCCCCCTTTTGAGGCAAGGGATTTAACTCTTATTTATCATAATTTTCCCTAGCTCCTAACAGACTCAATCTAAAATTTTAAACCAAAGTATTTACTTAATTTTTTTTTTTTTTTTTTTACTATATGAAAATCCTCTCTTAAAAAATGCTTGACTAGGAACCAGGGCAAGATGGCCAAAAAAGGAACAGCTCCGGTCTGCAGCTCACAGAGAGATCAACACAGAAGGCGGGTGATTTCTGCATTTCCAACAGAGGTACCCGGTTCACCTCACTGGGACTGGATAGACAGTGGGTGCAGCCCACAGACAGCGAGCTGAAGCAGGGTAGGGTGTCACCTCACCTGGGAAGCACAAGGGGTCTGGGAACTCCCTCCCCTAGCCAAGGGAAGCCATGAGGGACTGTGCCATGAGGAACAGTGCACCCTGGCCCAGATACTATGCTTTTCCCCCCAAGTCTTCGCAACCAGCAGACCAGGAGATTCCCTCCGGTGCCTATGCCACCAGGGATCTGGGTTTCAAGCACAAATCTGGGTGGCCATTTGGGCAGACACTGAGCTAGCTGCAGTTTTTTTTTTCATACCTCAGTGACACCTGGAATGCCAGCAAGACAGAACCATTCACTCTCCTGGAAAGGGGGCTGAAGCCAGGGAGCCAAGTGGTCTAGCACAGCAAATCCCACCCCTACAGAGCCCAGCAAGCTAAAATCCACTAGCTTGAAATTCTCGCTGCCAGCACAACAATCTGAAGTTGACCTGGGATGCTCAAGCTTGGTTGGGGGAGGGGCATCCACAATTACTGAGGCTTGAGTAGGCCCTATTCCCCTCACAGTGTAAACAAAGCCACCAGGAAGTTCAAACTGGGTAGACCCTACTGCAGCTTGGCAAAGCCACTATAGCTAGACTGCCTCTCTAGATTCCTCACTCTAGGCAGGGCATCTCTGAAAAAAAGCCAGCAGCCCCACTCAGGGGCTTACAGATAAAACTCCCATTTCCCTGGGAGAGGGCACCTGGGGAAAAGGGCAGCTGTGGGCACAGCTTCAGCAGACTTAAATGTTGCTGCCTGCTGGCTCTGAAGAGAGCAACAGATCTCCCAGCACAGTGCTTGAGCTCTGCTAACGGACAGACTGCCTCCTTAAGTGGGTCCCTGATACCTGTGCCTCCTGGTGGGGAGACACCTCCTACCAGGGTCAACAGACACCTCATACAGGAGAGCTCCAGCTGGCATCTGGCAGGTGCCCCTCTGGGAGGAAGCTTCCAAAGGAAGGAACAGGCAGCAATCTTTGCTGTTCTGCAGCCTCCACTGGTGATACCCAGGCAAACAGGGTCTGGAGTGGACATCCAGCAAACTCCAGCAGACCTGCAGCTGAGGGGCCTGTTAGAAGGAAAACTAACAAACAGGAATATCATCAATATCAACGAAAAGGACATCCACACAGATAACTCATCTGAAGGTCACCAACATGAAAGACCAAGGGCAGATAAATCCATGAAGATGAGGAAACGCCAGTGCAAAAAGGCAGAAAAAAAATGTGATCCTCTTCTCCTCCAAAGGATCACAACTCCTTGCCAGCAACGGAACAAAACTGGACGGAGAATGAGTTTGACAAATTGACAGAAGTAGGCTTCAGAAGGTGGGTAATAAGAAACTCCTCTGAGCTAAAGGAGCATGTTCTAACCCAATGCAAGGAAGCTACAAACCTTGAAAAAAGGTTAGAGGAGTGACAACTAGAATAACCAGTTTAGAGAAGGACCTGAATGACCTGATGTAGCCAAAAAACACAGCACGAGAACTTTGTGAAGCATACACAACTATCAATAGCTGAATCAATCAAGCAGAAGAAAGGATATCAGAGATTGAAGATGAATTTAATGAAATAAAGCATGAAGACAAGATTAGAGAAAAAAAGAATGAAAAGGAATGAACAAAGCTTCCAAGAAATATGGGACTATGTGAAAAGACCAAACCTATGTTTGATTGGTGTACCCGAAAGTGACGGGGAGAATGGAACCAAGTTGGAAAACTCTCGTCAGGATGTTATCCAGGAGAACGTCCCCAACCTAGCAATACAGGCCAACATTCAAATTCAGGAAATACAGAGAACACCACAAAGATACTCCTCGAGAAGAACAACCCCAAGACACATAATCATCAGATTCACCAAGGTTGAAATGGAGGAAAAATGTTAGGTGCAGCCAGAGAGAAAGGTTGAGTTACTCACAAAGGGAAGCCCATCAGACTAACAGCAGATCTCTCTGTAGAAACCCTACAAGCCAGAAGAGAGTGGGGGCCAATATTCAACATTCTTAAAGACAAGAATTTTCAACCCAGAATTTCATATACAGCCAAACTAAGATTTATAAGCAAAGAAGAAATAAAATCCTTTACAGACAAGCAAATGCTGAGAGATTTTGTCACCACCAGGCCTGCCTTACAAGAGCTCCTGAAGGAAGCACTAAATATGGAAAGGAAAACTGGTACCAGCCACTGCAAAAACATACCAAATTGTAAAGACCATCGACACTATGAAGAAACTGCATCAACTAACAGGCAAAATAACCAGCTAGCATCATAATGACAGGATCAAATTCACACATAACAATATTAACCTTAAGTGTGAATGGGCTAAATGCCCCAATTAAAAGACACAGACTGGCAAATTGGATAAAGAGTCAAGACCCATTGGTGTGCTGTATTCAGGAGACCCATCTCACATGTAAAGACACACATAGGCTCAAAATACAGGGATGGAGGAAGATTTACCAAGCAAATGGAAAGAAAAAAAAAAAGCAGGGGTTGCAATCCCAGTCTCTGATAAAACAGATTTTAAACCAACAAAGATCAAAAAAGAGAAAGAAGGGCATTATATAATAGTAAAGGGATCAATGCAACAAGAAGAGCTAACTATGCTAAATACATATGCACCCAATACAGGAATACCCAGATTCATAAAGCAAGTTCTTACAGACCTACAAAGAGACTTAGACTCCCACACAATAATAGTGGGAGACTTTAACACCCCACTGTCAATAATAGATCAACAAAACAGAAAATTAACAAGAATATTCAGGACTTGAACTCAGCTCTGGACAAAGCTGACCTAGTAGACATCTACAGAACTCTCCACCCCAGATGAATAGAATATACATTCTTCTCAGCACCACATCATACTTATTCTAAAATTGACCACATAATAGGAAATAAAACACTCCTCAGCAAATGCAAAAGAACGGAAATCATAACAGTCTGTCAGAACACAGTGCAATCAAATTAGAACTGAGGATTAAGAAACTCACTCAAAACTGCACAACTACATGGAAACTGAACAACCTGCTCCTGAATGACTACAGGGTAAATATGAAATGAAGGCAGAAATAAATAAGTTCTTTGAAACCAATGAGAACAAAGACACAACGTACCAGAATCTCTGGGACACATTTAAAGCAGTGTGTAGATGGAAATTTATAGCACTAAATGCCCACAGGAGAAAGAGGGAAAGATCTAAAATCAACATCATAATATCACAATTAAAAGAACCAGAGAAGCAAGAGCAAACAAATTCAAAAGCTAGCAAAAGACAAGAAATAACTAAGATCAGAGCAGAACTGAAGGAGATAGAGACACAGAAAACCCTTCAAAAAAATCAGTGAATCCAGGAGCTGGTTTTTTGAAAAGATTAACAAATATATAGACCACAAGCCAGTTTAATAAAGAAGAAGAGAGAGATGACTCAAATAGATACAATAAAAATAATAAAGGGGATGTCACCAGTGATCCCACAGAAATACAAACTACCATCACAGAATACTATAAACACCTCTACACAAATACACTAGAAAATCTAGAAGAAATGGATAAATTCCTAGACACATATACCCTCCAAGACTAAACCAGGAAGAAGTCAAATCCCTGAAGAGACCAATAACAAGTTGTGGCAGTAATGGCCTACCAACCAAAAAAAGCCCAGGACCAGATGGATTCACAGCTGAATTCTACCAGAGGTACAAAGAGGAGCTTATACCATTCCTTCTGAAACTATTCCCAACAATAGAAAAAGAGGGACTCCTCCCTAACTCATTTTATGAGGCCAACATCACCCTGATACCAAAACCTGGCAGAGGCAAAACCAAAAAAGAAAATTTCAGGCCAATATTCCTGATGAACATTGATGCAAAAATCCTCAATAAAATACTGGCAAACTGAATCCAGCAGCATATCAAAAAGCTTATTCACCATAATCAGGTCTGCTTCATCCCTGGGATACAAGGCTGGTTCAACATATACAAATCAATAAATGTAATCCATCACATAAACAGAACTAATGACAAAAACCACATGATTATCTCAATAGATGCAGAAAACGCCGTTGATAAAATTCAACAGCCCTTCATGCTAAAAACTCTCAATAAACTAGGTATTGATGGAATGTATCTCAGAATAATAAAGAGCTATTTATGACAAACCCACAGCCAATATCATACTGAATGGGCAAAAGTTGGAAGCATTTCCTTTGAAAACCAGCACAAGACAAAGATGCCCTCTCTCCCCACTCCTATTCAACATACTGTTGGAAGTTCTGGCCAGAGCAATTAGGCAAGAGAAAGAAATAAAGGGTATTCAATTAGGAAAACAGAAAGTCCAATTGTCCCTGTTGGCAGATGACATGATTGTATATCTAGAAAACCCCATCATCTCAGCCCAAAATCTCCTTAAGCTGATAAGCAACTTCAGCAAAGTCTCAGGATACAAAATCAATGTGCAAAAATCACAAGCATTCCTATACACCAATAACAGACAAACAGAGAGCCAAATCATGAGTGAACTCCCATTCACAATTACTACAAAAAGAATAAAATACCTAGGAATCCAACTTACAAGGGATGTGAAGGACCTCTTCAAGGAGAACTACAAACCACTGCTCAATGAAATAAAAGAGGATACAAACAAATGGAAGAACATTCCATGCTCACGGGTAGGAAGAATCAATATCGTGAAAATGGCCATACTGCCCAAGGTAATTTATAGATTCAATGCCATCCCCATCAAGCTACCAATGACTTTCTTCACAGAATTGGAAAAAACTACTTTAAAGTTCATATGGAACCAAAAAAGAGCCCACATAGCCAAGACAATCCTAAGCAAAAAAGAACAAAGCTGAAGGCATCATGCTACCTGACTTCAAACTATACTACAAGGCTACAGTAATCAAAAGAGCATGGTACTGCTACCAAAACAGATTATCAGATATATAGACCAATGGAACAGAACAGTCATCAGAAATAATGCCACACATCTACAACCATATGGTCTTTGACAACCCTGACAAAAAGAAGCAATGGGGAAAGGATTCCCTATTTAATAAATGTTGTTGGGAAAACTGACTAGCCATATACAGAAAACTGAAACTGGACCACTTCCTTACACCTTAGACAAAAATTAACTCAAGATGGATTAAAGACTTAAATGTAAGACCTAAAACCATAAAGTCCCTAGAAGAAAACCTAGGCAATACCATTCAGGACATAGGCACGGGCAAAGACTTCATGACTAAAACACCAAAAGCAATGGCAACAAAAATCAAAATTGGCAAATAGAATCTAATTAAACTAAAGAGCTTCTGCACAGCTAAAGAAACTATCATCAGAATGAACAGGCAAACTACAGAATGAGAGAAAATTTTTGCAATCTATCCATCTGACAAAGGGCTAATATCCAGAATCTACAAGGAACTTAAACAAATTTAAAAGAAAGAAACAACCCCATCAAAAAGTGGGTGCAGGATATGAGCAGACATTTCTCAAATGAAGACATTTATACCACGAACAAACATATGAAAAAATGCTCATCATCACTGGTCATTACAGAAATGCAAATCAAAACCACAATGAGATACCATCTCATGCCAGTTATAATGGCAATCATTAAAAAGTCAGGAAACAACAGATGCTGGAGAGGATGTGGAGAAACAGGAACGCTTTTACACTTTTGGTGGGAGTGTAAATTAGTTCAACCATTGTGGAAGACAGTGTGGGTGATTCCTCAAGGATCTAGAACCAGAGATATCCTTTGACCCAGCAATCCCATTACTGGGTATATACCAAACTATTGTAAATCATTCTCCTATAAAGACACATGCACATGTATGTGTCTTGCGGCATTGTTCACAACAGCAAAGACTTGGAACCAACCCAAATGCCCATCAATGATAAACTGGATAAAGAAAATATGGCACATATACACCATGGAATACTACGCAGCCATAAAAAAGAATGAGTTCATGTCCTTTGCAGGGTCATGGATGAAGCTGGAAACCATCATTCTCAGCAAACTAACACAGGAACAGAAAACCTAACACCGTATGTTCTCACTCATAAGTGGGAGTTGAACAGTAAGAACACATGGACACAGGGAGGGGAACATCACACACTGGGGCCTGTTGGGGGCTGGGAGGATAGGGGAGGGATAGCATTAGAAGAAATACCTAATGGAGATGATGGTTTGATGGGTGCAGCAAACCACCATGGCACGTGTATACCTATGTAACAAACCTGCACGTTCTGCACATGTGTCCCAGAACTTAAAGTATAATTTAAAAAAGAAATGCTTGACTATTGCACTTACCTTTGTGGACAAATTTATAAAATTATTTAAAATCAACTCTACATGCCTAGTTTCAACATTCACGACCAATCCTTGCATTACAAGAACTCCTTTTTTTAAGCTAATTTTTTTCAGTTCCCATTGTTTGGAATCACATTTCCAGTAATTTCTGTAAGAAATATATATGAGACCCCACATATATAATAATGTTTTCTTCTTGCTTACATACATAAATACCTGGCTAAATATAAAATAGGGGCAACTTTGTTTTACCTTTTAAATGCTGCACAGAGTTTTACTCTTTAGTTACATTAGAGTTGCAGAGAAGTCAGAGACCAACTTGATGTTGATTCCGTTAGAGGAAACCTGAGTAATCTTATTTGTGGCCAGGCATGGTGGCTCACGCCTGTAATCCTAGCACTTTGAGAGGCCAAGGCGTGCGGACCACAAGGCCAGGAGTTCGAGACCAGCCTGACCAACATGGTGAAACCCCATCTCACTTGAACCCAGAAGTGGATGTTGCAGTGAGCCGAGATCAGACCACTGCACTCCAGCCTGGGTGACAGAGCAGGACTCTGTCTCAAAAAAAAAAAAAAAAAGCCACACGTTTGTTTTTCCTGAATGTTTACATGATTATTTCTTCATCTGAGAAATATGAAAATCCTACTAATGTATTCCCTTCTCAATAAACTCACATGCAAAGTGCTGTTTCTTTCTCAGACAAGTAAAATTTTCTATTTTTTCCATTTATCTTTGCTTCTGTCTTCTCTCTCCTTTCTTGGAACCCACAGTGTAACCAAATTGTATAGACTGGATTTGTGTGAAGATACTATTAAGCACTACCTCCCTTGTAATTTTTCATTTGTGAATCATATTTTCAAAAGAACTGCCTACATTTATCTTCTCCACTTCCTTGCCCTCTATTTATTCCTGAGTCTACTCTTGCAGTTAGTTTCCCAACCATCTTATACCTTTACCTTCATCCCTATTCCACAGAAACTAGTCCTGTGGGTGGCCCCAAAAGTCAATAATGCCAAAGTAAGGGAACGTTTTTTTAGTTCTGACAGACCTTGGGTTCTCAGCATCATTCAGCCATGTTATCCACCACATCATTCTCCCTTGGTTTCCGTGATGCCTCCTTGCCCACATATGTGGCACTCTTTCCCAGTCTCTTTTCCTCCTCTGCTCATCTCTTAAATGAGTGCTTGCACAGGATTCCGTCCCAGGCTCTTTCTACTCACACTCCAAAAAGCAATCTTGAAACTGACCACAGTCCCACAGACATTTATTCCAGAAAAACAGAAATTGACCCTTCTGGTCTTTAAACTTGAAGCTTACACTTGTTTTATCTGAGATCCTTTCTCAGGCAAAAGACCACCAGGCCTCTCAAAAAGTATCAAACTGAAATTCACCAGATTATCACATCCAGACAATGAGGCCAGGCCCCTCATTCATCATGATTGCTTCCTGAGTTCCTGTTTTCCCACACAGTTACATTTCTTCCCTGCTATATAAACCCCTAATTTTAGTGGGTCAGGGAGATGGAGTTGAGACTAATCTCTCATCTTCTTGGCTACAGCTCCCAATTAAAGGCTTCTTCCCTGGCAATACTTGTTGTCTCCCTGTTTGGCTTTCTGTGTGGCTACCAGGAGGACCTAGGCCAAACCCCTGGTGCTTCAGTAACAGATTTTTGTGGCTGGGTTGCTGTGGTCTAGGAGTCTCAGAAGCCCTCCTAAGCAACTGCCCACCCAATTTTGGCTGGAAGTGAGTTTTGGTCTCTCTGGCCCTGCTGCTGCCAGCCCCAGCTGAGTTCCTGATTGCTAGGAAGAACAGCCTTTGAAATGTGACACTGGCATCTGGATAAGTGAGTGTCCTTTCTTGGCCCAGACAGCAAGATCTGCTCAATTTGAAAATTTTAAAAGGAGCTTCCATTTGCAGGTTAAACCAGCCCAACTGACTAAGAAAGGGAAGCACCCTGACTCTCAGTATGATACTCTAGAGAGCGTGTTTGTAATTTCTGTGTTTGTGTCTGGCCAAGTTAGTGTCTTTTTTGGGTACCAGACAGTGGGATCGGCTTCTCTCAATTTGGAAAATTCCTAAGAAATTTCTGTTTGCAGGTTAATAAAGCCCGATTGAGAGAGAAAAGCACCTCGACTGTTTCAGTTTGGACACTGTTCGGGCTTGTCTATTGCTTCAGCAGTCGGATTGTGTTTTGTTGATTGTATGTGTCAATATAGTAATGGGAAATTAGAATTCAACAAACAAATATTCTTTTGTACTACGTTTGCCCCAATATTCTTTGGAATCTGGAGTTGGCTGTTGAATGGGAAAGCCAGGTGGAGTCCCATGTATTCTGGCTTTTATGCCGCTGTTTTAAGCAGGGTTGGGCCTGGTGAGTAGTTTCCACATGACGTTCTTCTGTAGTGCTGTTTGGCCCCAGGTTTCTTTGGAATCTAGCTTCTAAAAATCAAACTGCCATGGAAACTGCTTTACCCAAAATTCTGGTTCACAGCCTTCATTGGATTACCGATTGGAGCAAACAAATTTTAGCCATGTGGACTTGGTTGTAGATTCGTGAGTTTGTATTGCTATCTCATGGCTAGAGTTCCAAGGTAAAAGCTGTTGGATCTTTGTGTGTGTATACATGTTTAGATGTGTTTATCTAGATGTACATTAACTATGTTATACACTATACCTACCAAATTGGCTTATAAATAAGAGTGCTCATAAATTAAGTCCAAAGTGTTTTTCAAGTTCACATGACTTCAGTAAATCTTTAATAAACAAGCTGTCTTTAAAATTATTGGTAAAATAAAAATAGAAATGTCTTCAGAATTGTCAGCATACATTTTTGTCTCGGCTTTATATTTGTCTCAGCTAGATAATTTGAGGTATCAGAGTTTGGCAGCAGGTTATAAAGCTATAAACCCAGTGAATATTTGTGTGAATTCTTTATAAGACTAATTTAATGCTGTTAGTTTAATGAAAACAGCTGAATCTTCTGAGTTATTGATCAAAATGCCCACGTATTAATTTTAAGGTTATTTAGGTGAACACCTGACATTCACAGGTTATAAAATGGTTAAGAAGGAAATGATGCAGAAATAATCTAGATAAACTGCTAAAAATAAATAAAATGTAAATGGTCAAATGCTGTAAATGAACTTTTGGCATAATCGGAAATATAATCATTGGATGTTTGAGTCATTTCCAATTAAGAAAAGGTTATGATGTGGGGAACATGTTTCTAAAAATTGTGGAATGGTTCTCATCTATAAAATACTAATATCTGCTAGGCAGCTCAAGATTTCTTGCTTCCTAGGTTTTTACTGAAATTTAAGGTTGTTACTAAGGATAAGAATTCTAGTTCATATGTAATTCTATATATAAAATGTGCAAAAGACAATGTGTTTTTATTCAGAAAAAAATTTTATCTAACTCAGAAGTTATCTAAAGTTTATTAATAATTATGGACTTGAAAGGTTACTTATGAAACAAGGTAGAAAAGAACAAGTAGACGAGAGAGATGTGGAGAAAGTTATGAGTATAAAGATGTATTTTTGGTAAGGAAGGTTATAAAGAAAATAATTTTGTATGACAAAGCATCTTATAATGGTATTTTTTTTGTCCTAAAGTAAAATGACTGTTTAAAAAAAAAAAAAGAAGAAGAAAAAGAACGAAAATCCAGGACAAATCAGAAAGTCTAAGCATATCATAGATGGTGTGTGTAAGTCATGTAGTTTCTTTCCTATTTCTTTGTGTGTCTACCTTTATGTACAGACAGAGAAAATACAAAGTATAAAAGGCTTAAATAATATTCTCTTAAAACCAGATAGAATATTGGAGAAATCTGGCTAATTAACACTGCTCATAGTTAAAGCTCTTAGTCTTGATGAAAGTAAAATAAGAAATATTGTAAAGAAACACATTGGCAGTTTGGCAATCCTTTCTTAATATAGTTAACCATGAAGCCAGATAAAAGCCAGATATAGCAACAACCAAATTTCACCTACATGCTTGCATTGCTTCACACTGTATTTGCTCTTCTGCATAGATATACTATCATTACAGTATAATACTTACTGGTCGGCCTCCTCCAGAGTAGCTGGGATTATAGTTGTGTGCCATCATGCCTGGCCAATTTTTGTATTTTTAGTAGAGATGGGGTTTTACCATGTTGGCCAGGCTGGTCTCAAACTCCTGGCCTCAAGTGATTCACCCATCTTGGCCTCCCAAAGTGCTGAGATTACAGGCCTGAGCCACCACGCCCAGCCTAAAGTGAATTTCTTAATTGCACAAAATATATAGTGGTATTGGTGAACTTAAAGACATTAAATTGTGCATCAGGAACAAAATATTCATCATGTGTTTTTTTGGCTCTGGGTAACACTATAGCCTCCAAGTTAAACTGAGTAGAAAATTTTCAGGTTGGTTTCCTGTTTGTTTTTTCTTTTAATTTGCATTTATTTGCTGTTTCTTCTTCTTTAGGTTTTACTTATATATACATATTAATAAAACCATTGATGGCTTTTAGTTTCTAATGTAAGGAAGGCTTTTATTTGGTTCCATGAATAATCATTTTGTTTCCTATGCATTTCCAGTATCTCATCATTTGCTCTACTTATCCAAAGTTCCTAAGCTACCTTTTTCAAGCTTCCAAAAATTGTTGGTGGACACCAGCCTTTAAAATTTGTTTGGTTTTGCTTACCTCTAATGAACTAGAGAGCTATAAGAACTTTAAGATTCCTGGCAAAAAATAATAAAAGGTTTATTCTTCTAAGTTCTGAACAGAAATAGTACATTATTATTGGTTATTTGGAAAAGTAGGTGAGAGAAATGTTTAAGTGGTGTTTATTTCCAAGGTAATTCAATTCAATAAACAATAGCGGTTTCAGATCTTTTCCTTTAATGAGGCAAAACTGCTATATGGGTACAAAGTCTTAATATTCAGAAAAAAATTGGCTTTGTCTTTAAGGAAATTATATTGATTGGGCTTTCTCTCAAACTAATTTAGTTGTGTTTACTATTATTAAGATTAAATAACATTTACTTGGATTAAGTCATAAAAAAAATTATAAGACTTTCTAGTGTTTTTTTTATCCTAAGCCATTTATCACTGATGGGCCTTCACATGTATACTTGAAAACAAAATATGTACATACAAGTGTTATGCCAGTTTGAAGATTCTAGTGGTGTAAGTCACTTAAATCAGTTGTCAGTACTTTATCTAGAAACCAATCTTGGAAATGTATGATGAGGCTCTTTCAAAATAGCTGAAAAGAAATTACTGTGTGCTTATTGTCACTTTGTCCTTGTTTTGTTGTATACTTTTTAAATGAAAGATTTATCTTCATATTGAATTTCCAAAACTGATACTTGCATTTACCATTTTTTTTTTTAATGATGGAAAGAAAAGTTAACTATCTTACTTTGGTAAGTTTGGCACAGGACTTACCACATTTTTGAGGCTCTAGGTCACAGTTTTGTCACTAGAATGCTAGCAGATAAATGCAAGGAGTAACCTAACCACTTTAATACAATGGATTGTATAATGGGTTGAAGTGTTTCAGACAGTAACTACTAGGCACCAAATCCCAGGGTTTTATTTTGTGACATATTAGAGAGAATGATGAGGTTTCCTGCAGTATAAATATGCTATTAAATAATTCTTAGGAAACAATTATTTAGTAATTCAAAGGCCTTTGACTCCTGGATCCAAAAAAGACACCAATACCTGCTAAATCTTGAGCACTGACACCAAATGAAGCCTCGTCTTCAGACTCAGGAGAAGGTGACAATCAAAATGAACTGCTTTCATGAGACATAGGGCTAGAAATTAAAACCATTCAATCCCTCTACGCCCAGGAACTATTGCACAAAAGGTGAGCACGTGAGCTTGTAAGGGCTGATTTTGAGTTATAAAATTAGTTCAGGGTTTTTCTATAAATTAAACATTAACATCAAAAGCACACTGATGCAAGGCCAATGTCTGGGCCCCTGTGTCATAACAGGGTTTTCTTGGAGCATTACTCTACTCTTTAATAGGAAATCGTAAAACGTTATAAAAAGATGGCTGGGTGTGGTGGCTCAGGCTGGGCGTGGTGGCTCAGGCCGGGGCTGGTGACTCAGGCCGGGTGTGGTGGCTCACGCCTGTAATCCCAGCACTTTGGGAGGCCGAGGCAGGCGGATCAGCTGAGGCCACGAGTTGGAGACCAGCCTGGCCAACATGGTGAAACCCCGTCTCTACTAAAAATACAAAAATTAGCCAAGTGTGGTGGCATGGCCTGTAATCCCAGCTACTAGGGAGGTTGAGGCAGGAGAATTGCTTGAACCCAGGAGGCAGAGGTTGCAGTGAGCCAAGATCGCACCACTGTAGCCTGGGCAACAGAGCCAGACACCATCTCAAAAAAAAAAAAAAAAAAAAAAACTTCACAGAAATCCTATCTTATAGTCAAACTGATTAAAATTCGGCTTATAAGGTTTTATTAAAATTAGCTTTAACATTAAAAATATACCATACAAAGGTAAAATTTGATGTTCTCTTTTGAATAAAATGTTTGTATAATATTGACATAAAATATTTGTTTACCTTTTGAGTGAACTGTGGGGGGAAGAAAAGGAAGAGGGAGAGACATTTAGTTGGCCTCATGCTGTCTTTATTAGGCCTTATTGTTGGGAAACTGAGTCGCCTATCAAAGGGTAAATGTGTTTGTTTTATCTTTTTGGCTAAATGAATAACTATTTTGTAGCGACCTGTGATCCTATTTTGTGATATCAAGTGTCTTAAATCTTTGATACTGACAGACTTCCCAACAGCAAATATTTCAAGTTCTAAATTCAGGGGGTTTTTTTTAACCTCAAACTAACTTTTTTGTGTATTAGCTTCCTTGAATTCCAATACAGACAGACATGTTAGGCTTCTTTGGTATATTAGAATTATACAGGCAGCATTATCAAATGTGAGGTGGTATTTAACTTCCTTTGGGTTATATTTGTATAGATGTGCTATTAATATGTGTTGCAGGACTATATGAGATTCCTAAAATTCTGATATGTCTTAATATATGGTGTCAGTAATGATGATTATTATGTTAAATTGTTGTATGCCAACAGAAAAAAAAATTTCCTTGTCAACTGTGTCTTTATGGCTCTCCTAAGACTTTTGTCATTGCAATTGTTGTTTTGCATTGATTCTTTTCAAAAAGTGACTTATAATCAGATATAGTCCAGAGCTTGTTTATTTAGGGGACTTCATGAAAAGGAGTCTTGAATGCAGATTTCTGATAACTTTGGAGACTGTGCCACTGGAATACAGAAAACTTCTAGGACTCTTAATTAGAGTCCCTCTTAATTAAAAGGCTGACATGTTTATAAAGATTACTAACCCAATATGAAACACAGCAGGAGTTGATTGCATGGACTGAACTAATGTGGGACTGAAATAATTTTTTATGGTTTTGTTTGAAAAAGTCTGGAGAATTTTTGTTTTTTGGAATCTGGAGAATTTTTTCTTTTAAGCTCTTCATAACCTTTAAGAATACAGTATATTAAGTAGAGTATACCCTTTTAAACAGAATTTGAGGCATTTTCTCTCTCCCTAATTTCTCCAGAATTTATAAACTATTTGTGAATATTCTTAGTTCATGGCAATGTGTTTTCTTGCATACATTTAATAAAAATCTGTTTTCTTTTATAAGGGGACACAGTTGGAGGAACAAGTTATTTTCCCAGGGCTTTGACTGAAATGGCCTTGTGAGAGGTTCCAGCAAAGCCAATTAGGAGAGCCCATATGGACAATAATTTTTGCTGCACTTTGTGTGGGTAAATAAGCCAAGTATATGTAACTGAGGCTTATTTTGCAGGTAGGCCCATCCAGCTGTGATATGTCTTTGGTGGAAGCGGGGAACAGTAATGATACAGATTGTGTCTCAGAAGAAAACTATAGTATTAGATTAACTTTTGATTCCTGGATGGCCACGTGGTCACCCATAGTATGGAACTGCCCACCACGCCATTCCTCAGCATGAAGCTGCCAGAAAGATTGAGGATCAGATTCCCCATGATCCAGGAATTGATAAATAGAAAGAGGGGGACTGAAACCAACACAATAGTCCCATATACAATTCTTTCGAATAAACATGGAAATTGACCCTCCTGATCTTAAAGCTGAAACTTATATTTGTTTTATCTGAGTTCCTTCCCCAGGAAAAGGACCCCCAGGCCTCTCAAAAGGTATAAAAGAACTGAAACTCATCAGACCATCACATCCAGACAATGAGACACCAGGCCCCTCATTTATCATGATTGCTTCCTTACCCCTCCAGAGTCCATTTTCCAACACCTAGTTATATTTCTTTCCTTCTATCCATACCCCTAATTTCAACGGGTCAGGGAGATGGATTTGAGACTGATCTCCTACCTCCTTTGCTGCAGCTCCCAATTAAAGCCTTGGCAAAACTTGTTGTCTCAGTGATTGGCTTTATGTGCAGCCAGCAAAAGAACCTAGGCTGAATCCCTGGTGTTTCAGTAACAATTGCACCCACTCTCATTGTTTCAGCAAGGATCTCCACATTAATGTCTCCCCAACTGTGGACCCTTTTCCTGAACTCCACACCTGTGCAGCCAACAATCTGATGAACATCTCTTCATGGATGTATCCAAGGCATACAAACCCAGCATACCTAAATCCGAATTTTTCTCCTCCTCCTGCAAACCTGTCCCTCTTCCCACATTTCCTATCTCAGAAACTACCATTTATTCACCCAAGGACCAAAGCCAGAGACCTGGAAGTCATTTCCACCCTGTCCTCACCCTTACCTCCTCACCACAACTCCCCAAGAGACCTATTGATTATACTTTCCAAATGTGTCTTGAATCCATCCATTTCTCCCCATTCCTCCGGATTCCTATTTTCCTAACTGGTATCCTTGCTTCCAGTTTTTCCACTCTGCTGTCCTGGCATCATTGCATCTGCCATTCTCTCTCTCCCTGTCTTGTACCTATTCAAGCCATTCCTCAAACTGAAGTCAAAGTCGTTTTTCTACAATGCAAATTCTATTTTGGTCCCCTCTCCTTATCACATTTCAGTGGATAAAGTCCAAAACTGTTCATATCCCACTTCTGCTTGCCTGTCAAGTTTCATCTCTCTGAACTCCTGCCTCTCTCTCCACAATGCCACCATACTAATATTTTCTGGATACCTGGAACACTCTAGTTTCTCTTTCACCTTGGACCTTTGCACATAAGGAGCCCTCTAACTGCAATTTATTGTCTCCTTCCAGCTAATTTTTCCTCTTTCTTTAGACCTCAGTTCAAATGCCAAATATCTGGGAAGCTTTGGCTGTGCCCTTTGGACTCTAGTAGACATCCCAGCTTTTTTCCATCAAAGCACTGCTGCACTTTATTATTTACTATTTTGTTACCTGCATTCACATAGACACACTAATCACTATTAGGGCAGGGACAGTTTCTACTGTGCTCATCATTGCTTCCTCAACTTTCAATGACACTATTAGGTAATAGGTGCTGAGTAAATTACCTCCAATGCTAACATAATACTGACACGAGTTGCTTATTTTATTCCATCAAAGTGTATCAAATCAATATATGAGTGCATGAAAAAATGGAATTCACACCAGTTGTTAGTGTTTCTTCCAAGTACTTCTTCAGGTGCCAAGCTACACTGGTCACTAGAATGCCATTCCACAACCTTTCTTTTAGTTTTGTAGAGCAATTAGCATTCAAGTTAGTTGCCGGTCTTAACGCCATTTCCAAAAACTGCAATAACATCAGGAAAGACTGGCACTTGGAGACTTTTAGGATTCCCAGGCCCCCTCTCATCGACTTTTTTTTGTTTTTCGGTTTTTTTTTTTTTTTTTTTTTTTTTTTTGGAGACAAGAGTCTCACGATGTCACCCAGGCTGAGTGCAGTGGTGCGATCTCACCATAACCTCTGCCTCCCTGGTTCAAGCGATTTTCATTCCTCAGCCTCCTGAGTAGCTGGGACTACAGGAGTGCACCACTACGCCTGGCTAATTTTGTATTTTTCGGTAGAGACGGGGTTTCACCATATTGGCCAAGCTGGTCTCGAACTCCTGACCTTGTGATCCACCCGCCTAGGCCTCCCAAAGTGCTGGCTGCAGGGAGCCGAAGGCCCTTGGGATGTGACCAACTCAGCATTCCGCTGGAGGCTATATGATCAAACAGCAAACTGTTTATCATGAATGCAGCACCTGGGCAAACTCACACTGCCTTGCCACCAAATGGTTTGCTGAGCGCCTCACTCCCTGGCGCCAGGCTCCTTGAAATTATTTATTGAGAAATCTAGCACCTATTGTTCAAAGAATGCAGTCTTGCAAGCCTGCTGTGAATCAAGCAGCCAGCCAACAAGCACCTCCCCTTCTCGCTATCTCTTTTGCCTAATAAGAAGGGCTGTGTAAAGCTCAGGGCCCTTGTCCACTAGAGGCAAGGTGCCCCCTGACCCCTTCTTCCAGATATACTCTTTTGTCTCTTGTCTTTTATTCCCGCGTTCGCCCCTCTTTGTTCAGTCCCCTAGGTCCGTGCGGGTTACATAGTGGCACCCCGAACAGCAACAGCATCGGGTGCTCTACAGCTGGGATTACAGCGTGAGGGACCACGCCCGGCCTCATCGATATCTTTTAAGTACCACCTCCTTTCACCTCTTTCCCAGAAGCCTCTGCTCATCTCCAGCACAAAGTAATTCGATACAAATTTACAAAATGGTCATTACCCAGGATCACCTGTCTCCGAAGTTAGATGGAAACACCTGTATTAAAGCCTAAAGCTATTCGGTCTGGAAAAGTCCGGCTCCTCTCCAGCTTCCACTTCTTTAGGCGTGCAAATAAGATTCGGCAGAGTAAGCATCAACTTCCTTTAAGCTCAGACCGCACTTTGTGCTCAGTACTGTAATTATCTGCCCTTTGTGTCCCATCCCTTGGACTGTAATGTATACTAAGGAAGAGCCCTTATCTTATTTCTCAATCTCTGTCAGTACCCAGCCAAGCACACAGTAGACTTTAATATTAGTGAAAATAAATGAAACAAAATTTCTTCCCCAGCTTTGAACCTAAATAGATGAGCACCCTTAAGCAAGTCACTTCACCTCGCTGGAACTCAGTTTCCCCACCTAGGCCTCCGAGGGCTCCTCAAACTCTGGCAACCTCTAGCCTAAAATGCTGCGGAGATCTTACCACAAACCTGGGGAGTCTGGCAGGCTCTCTGCATTGATTAAAAGAAGGGAACGAAGCAAGAGAAAAACAAGTCCTCAATTGTTTTCCGCCGAGAAGGCGCCGCTGGAGACACTCACCCTCCCTAAACCAGGGGGCCATGTAGCTCAGGATGTAGGTAGGGTCCAGGGTCTTCCGGATATAATCCTGGAAGGCTTGCAGGCTGCGTCGCTGCTCGGTGGTCATGCCGGCCTCTGCTTGCAGCTAGCTACGTTCCCCGCAGGCTGTGCCTCACTAGCTTTAAAGCCGGGTAGGAGGAGGGCGTGGCGAGCGGGGAAAGCAGGGATTTTCCGAGGAAATGAGGCCGGACGCGAGGCGGAGCTGCATAGGAACTTTAATAACTAAAGGGAAAATCGAAAGTGCAACTAGCGGCGGGCGGGGTTCGCGGAGGCTGTTTTGCCTCGGGCTAGTTTCGTTTCCCTCCGCACCGAGGAAGCCCGGGAACGGAGAGGACCCCTAGGAATTGCTTTTATTTTTATGATCTTATATTTTGTTTTGCTTTTATAGCGCTAACGTTTAGACACAGTAAAATGCACACAATCTGAGTGTGCAATTCGATGAGTTTTGTAAAGTGTACACCTGTGTACCCAGTTCTCCCACGTCGGCTGGGTGCCAGGGTAAGTCTATGTTTAGCTTTATAGGAAACCGCCACCTGTTGTCCAAAATGACTGATTACATCCAGTTTACATTCCCACCCGCAGTAGGAGAGCTCCAGTAGATAGACACATTGGTCAGCCTTTCTTTTTTTTTTTTAATTTTAACTTCCATCTTGGTCGGTGTGAAATGGTATATTATTGTGGTTTTAATTTTAATTTCCCATATAATTAATGGTGGGCACATTTGCATGTGCTTACTGGGTCATTCATATATCTTTTGTGAAGCATCTGCTCCAATCTTTTGCCTGACTTTGGAGTTTTTTGGTTTATGGATTTACAGGAGTTATTTATTCAGGATACAAAATTGTTAAATATATGTATTCGAAATATCTTCTTCCAGTCTGTGGCTTACCATTTCATTTTCTTAAAGGTGTCTTTTGAGGAGCAGACACTTATATTGATGCAATTTTCAGGTTTTTCTTCTGTTTGTTGTTTTTTGTGTCCTCTTTAATAAATCTTTGCCTACCCCAAGGTCATGAAAATATTGTTTCCTTTTAGATTTATATTTTTAGCCTTTACTTCTGGGTCTATTACTATCTCAAAATAATTTTGTTGTGGCGTGAGATGGGGGGTCCAGGTTCACTTTTTCCATATTTCTAATTGTTTCAGCACCGTTTGTTGAAAACTTTTCCTTTTGGCATTGGATAGCCTTGGGACCTTTGTAAAAAAACCAAGTCCATTGAATGTATATGTGTCTATTTCTGACTCTTGTTATATTCTACTTCCTACTACTTTGACAATACCATTGTCTCTAGGTTACTTTAGATTTCAACTAAGTCTCAAAATCAAGTACTACTAAGTTCTCCAAATTTGTTTTTCACTGTGAAGATATTAGCTATTTGAGATTCTTTGCATTCCTTTTTTTTTTTTTTTTTTAATTTCTTTTTTGAGACAAGGTCTCACTCTGTCTCCCAGGCTGGAGTGCAGTGGTGCAAACAGGGGTCACTGCAACCTTGAATCCCTGTGCATTTCCATATGAAATAAGAATCAACTTGTCAATTACCCCTTCCTTCCCCCAAAAAAAGTTTATGGGGATTTTGATCAAGATTGCATTGAACCTACAGATAAACTTGGGGAGAAGTGACATCTTAACAATATTGAGTCTTCTAATCCATAAGCATGGTATGCCTTTTCATTTACTTAGGTCTATAATTTCTCTCAGCAGTATTTTAGTTTTGTTTCATTTTATTTTACAGACGGAGTCTCACTATGTTGCCCAAGCTGGAGTGCAGTGGCTATTCACAGGCACAATTATAGTGTGCTACAGCCTTGAACTCTTGGGCTCAAGGGATCCACCTGGACTCAAGCAATCCTCCTACCTCAGCCATCCAGAGTAGCTGGGACTACAGGCACGGGCCATCACACCTGGCTATTCTGAACTATTTTATGTTATTTGATGCTACTGTCAATGGAATTGTTTTTAAGATTTCATTTTCAAATTGTCTGTTGCTACGGTATAGAAATACAAATGATTGGCTGGGTGTGGTGGCTCACACCTGTAATCCCAGCACTTTGGGAGGCTGAGGTGGGTGGATCACCTGAGGTCAGGAGTTCGAGACCAGCCTGGCCAACATGGTGAAACCTCATCTCTACTAAAAATACAAAAAATAGCCGGGCGTGGTGGTGGGCGCCTGTAATCCCATCTACTCGGGAGGCTGAGGCAGGAGAATCGCTTGAACCCAGGAAGCGGAGGGTGTGGTGAGCCGAGATTGCACCACTGCACTCCAGCCTGGGCGACAGAGTGAGACTCCATCTCACACACACACACAAAAAAAGAAATACAAGTGATTTTTGTTTTTTGACCTTAAAACATGCAACATTGCTAACTTCACTTATTTGTTCTAGTAATTGTTCTGTAAATTCCTCTAAGTTTTCTAGATAAATAATGATGTCATTTGTGAATACATACTTTAACTTCTTCCTTTCCAATCTTTATGCCTTTTATTTCCTTTCATTATAGTTTTTCTTTTTGAGACAGGGTCTCACTTTTGTCAACCAGGCTGCTGCAGCCTCCACCTCCCAGGCTCAAGGATCCTTCCACTGCAGCCTCCTGAGTAGCTAGGACCACAGGTGCACACCACTACACCCAGCTAATTTTTGTATTTTTTTGTAGAGATGGGGTTTCGCCCTGATGCCCAGGCTGGTCTCAAACTCCTGAACTCAAGCGATCGCCCATCTCGGCCTCTCAAAGTGCTGGGATTACAGACATGAGCCACCATGCCCAGCCAGTTTTACTTCTTTCTTTCCGGTCTTCATGCTTTTTGCCTCCTTTCTTTATTATGGTACCTCCTAGAGCCTCCTATAGAAAATAGAATAAAAGTGGTGACAGTTGACACCATTACTTTATTGCTAATTTCAGTGGGGAAATCATCAATGTAATAATAATCACTTTAAATAATATGGTAGCTGTAAATTTTTCTTAGATACCTTTTATCAGATTGATGAAGTTCTCTTTTATTCCTAGTTTGCTGAGTTTTTATAATGCATGGGTGTTGAATTTTTCAAATGTTTTTTCCTGCATTTATTGAGGTGATCATATATTCTGTTAACATACCAAATTTCACTGATCAATTTTTGAACGTTCACCCAACCTACCATTCCTGGGATAAATCTCATTTGGTTTTAGATACAAAGGATGCTATATCATGACCAAATGAGTATTTTCATAAATACTTTTGTGTCTGTGTTCATGAGGAATATTAGTCAATAATTTTATTTTCTTGTAATGTGTTTATCAGGTTTTGATATCAGAGTTATGCTAGTCTCATAAAGCAAGAGTTTGTTTCAGATTGGTATCATTTTCCCCTTAAATGTTTAACAGAATTCACTAATAAAACCATTTGGGCTTGACATTTTCCTTGTTTGAAGATTCTTTATAATGAATTCAATTTCTCAATTAGATATAAAGCTATTCTGACTTTTAATCTTTAATCAGTTTTGATAAATTGTGCTTCTCAAGTGTTAAAATAATTGGTAGGCCATTAGACTGATGTAGCTGTAACACCCTCATGAGGAAAATGAAACTTAGTTTAGCCAATCACAGTTGGCTAACTGGGACATTGGTTATATTGTCATAAATTTCTCACTTGGATAGTCCAAATAAGGCAAACACTCAAACTTTAACCAATGAAACAATTTCTTTGCTCTGTGTCCCTTCAACCCCCTCTAACAGAGCCCCAGACCATTTCTGGTTTGTAGCTGCTTAATTTATGAATCACTGCTGGAACACCTTAATTTTTTTTTTTTTTTTTTTTTTTTTTTTTTTTTTTTTTGAGACAGAGTCTCACTCTGTAGCCCAAGCTGGAGTGCAGTGGCACAATCTTGGCTCACTGCAGCCTTCACCTCTAGGGCTCAAGAGATTCTCCTGCCTCGGCCCCCAAGTAGCTGGGACTAGAGGCATGTGCCATCACACCCAGTTAATTTTTTTGTATTTTTTTAGTAGAGACTGGGTTTCACCATGTTGCCTGGGTGGTCTCGAACTCCTGAGCTCAGGCAATCCACCCACCTTGGCCTCCCAAAGTGATGGGATTACAGGTGTGAGCCACCACGCCTGGCCAGCTTGAAATTTTAATGTGGAAAAGTTTATATTTTAACACAAGGAATTTGATCATTTCCTCTAAATTGTTAAATGTATTGGCATATGGTGTTCGTGATAGACCTTATTATCTTTTTTGCCTTTTTAAAAAATCAGTCTTGCCAGGGATTTACCAATTGCATCTTTTCAAAGAACAAACTTTTAATTCAATAATTTTATTTTTTTAAGAGACAGGGTTTTGCTGTGTCATCCAGTAAAATGGACTCCTTGGATATACGTTAATCAAATATAACTTTAACCTCTTTTAGCTATAACTCTTTGTATTCTTTTAGCTATAGGTCTCTCTCCATACACACATACACATATATATTTGTATACACTCTACATATTATTTTATACGTGTGTGTGTGTGTATTTAGTGGTTGCACTAAGGATTATAATATGTATCCTCAACTTAATCTATTTAGAACTAATATTGTACCACATTAGGTAAAATATAAGATCATCACAACCATGTAATTCCACCCCATCCTTTTTGCTATCATTGTCTGAAACTGTACTTCTATATGTTATAAAATACATACTACAATAATACAATGTTATAAACCTTGTTATAGCTTGTTGTCTTTTAAGTAAAATAAGAAAAAAATTAGTTTTTGTTTTTCCATGCTGTTTGCTATTTCTGGTGCTATTCATTGCCTCTGGTAAACACTGGTTTCCAACTAATGTTATTTCACTTCTGTCTTCTCCAATTTGTTAAGGCTTCCAGTAACTTTTTCATTTTAGGTTTGTTTTTGTTTTTTTTTGTAGTTCCAGGATTTCCATTGTTTCTTTTTTCTACTTCTCATGTCTCAGCTGAGAACCACTATCTGTTCATTCATTAAACCATCTTTTCCTTTAAGTTCATACACATATTTCTAATAGTGTCTTTAAAGCCCTTGTCTGTGAATTCCATCTTGGAACCTGTTTTGGTGACGGCTTTTTCTCTTGACTATGGGTTCATTCACATGTCTAGTATTTTTTTTATACTGGATGCTACAGATGTATTATAGAATCTCTGGATTCTATTATTTTACTCTCAAGAGTATTACTTTTTGTTCTAGCATTCCACTGAATTACCGATGAATTACTTTAAACTTACAAAGGCATTGTTTACACACTGTGGTAGGTCTGTTTCAAATTTTGCCCTTCTTGCAAGGTAAGTCCTTAGTCCTGAGTCATAGTCTTCCACAGTAAGCTGTGGCCCTGCATGTTCCAGTGAAAAGTCCTACATGTTTCTCAGCCCATCTAAGTTGGTGGGATTCAACCTCCAAGTTCTATATTCCCTGTGGTGGTGGCTGAAATGTATCTATTGAGCCCTTTTAGCTTTCCAGCTATTGCTTACATGGGCTTTTTGGAATCTTCCCTGCACATGTACATTTCAGGGTCAGGTAAAGATTTGAGTGAAAGTTATACAAAAATTTTAGGGCTTGTTTTCTGTGTCTACTTTCTGAAATTTCTCCCTCAAAATGCAGTCACTCGGGCAGCCCCAGGGTCCATCTTCTGACACAATGTCTGTGGCTCTCTGCTTGCATTCTAGTCTCCCTATGGACCGGGGATGACCCTCAGATGAAATGCCAAAGAAACTGTTCTTATACAGTGTCATCTCCGTCTTTCAAGGGTCTAATTCCCTCCAGTTTCTGCTTTTTGATTGCCCTCCAGTGGCTTCAAGTTCTTTATACCCTTATGTTTTGCCTATGTTTATAATTATTATCTCATGCAAGCTACTCTTCCAATACCTGGATTTGGGTTTTAGCTGAGAAAAAGAAATCAGATCCAAAATTCCTTTAAAAAGGTAAAGACATGCCTCCTTCTATGCTACTAGTGGGAAATAATGTATTCCTGAATAACAACAGATTTAGAAAACATCAACAATTACAGTATAGATTATACCTGAAAGAACTGAAGGTCCAGAAATGGAATCATTTGACAGATTCATAGGTAAAATTTGACCAAGGCCAGGAAAGAAGGGGAGTGTCACAGAAGGATAAGATCACAGAAGGATTAGGTGATATCTTATCACCTAATACCTAGGTGATAGGTTGATAGGTGCAGCAAACCACCATGGCACACATTTACCTATGTAACAAACCTGCACATCCTGCAGATGTACCCCAGAACTTAAAATTAAAAATTAAAAATTAAAAAAAAAATCTCAGTCTTAGACCATCTCCTCACCTGGGCATTAATTTACTCAACACATTTACAGAATATCTACTGTATGTCAGGTACTGTGAAAAACACTAGATACATGGAGATAAGTGGAAAAGAGTCTCTGTCAAGAGCTTAGAGTCTGATTGAAGGAGGAAGAAGACACAATAAAGATGTAAAAACACAAATAGTAACTGCCAAATGTGAAGTGACATGGAGAAAACTATTTCAGTACAGTGGTAAGGGAATACCTTTCTGAGGAGGTCACATTTCAGCTGAATCCTGAAGAATGAGAAGGAATTAGCTATTCAAAAAAAAGCAGGTAGGCCGGGCACAGTGGCTCATACATGTAATCCCAGCACTTTGGGAGGCCAAGGCGGGTGGATCATTTGCAGTCAGGAGTTTGAGACCAGCCTGGCCAACATGGTGAAACCCCATCCCTACTAAAAATACAAAAAATTGGGTGTGGTGGCACACACCTGTAGTCCCAGCTACTCGGGAGGCTGAGGCAGGAGAACTGCTTAAACCTGGGAGACAGGGGTTGCAGTGAATCGAGATCACGAGATCACGCCACTGCCCTCCAGTCTGGGCAACAGAGCCAGACCCCGTCTCAAAAAAAAAAAAAAGCAGGTAGGAGACAGAATGCACAGAAGAGTTTTTTAAAAAAAGTGAAAGATGCAAGATGCTTGTAGCTGGAACTCTGTGAGCAACAAGTAAATGGTATTGCAAGTGGAGCTGAAACAGCAGCACCTTTAATGCAAGGAATGAAGTGCAGTGAGAACATACTGCAGGGTTTGTTGTTGTTGTTGTTGTTGTTTATTTTTTTTGAGATGGAGTCTTGCTCTGTTGCCCAGGCTGGAGTGCAGTGGTGCCATCTAGGCTCACTGCAAGCTCTGCCTCCCGGGTTCACGCCATTCTCCCGCGCCCACCACCATGCCAGGCTAATTTTGTTTTTGTATTTTTAGTAGAAACAGAGTTTCACCGTGTTAGCCAGGATGGTCTCCGCCTCCCAAAGTGCTGAGATTACAGGTGTGAGCCACCGCGCCCGGCCATACTGCAGGGTTTTAATCAAGGAATAGCATAATCTGATTACATTTTTTAAAAACCTCTCTGGCTCCTAGCCAGAATGAGATCAGTTGGGAGGTGACTCAAGTAAGAGATGCTGAGCAGCATAGATAAGGACACTGTGGCAGAGAGTGTAAGAAGTTAATTGAGATATATTTTAGAGACAGGATTGAGTGGCTGGCAGAGGAAAGGAATGAGAAAAATCGAGGATAAATTTCAGGTATCTGGTTTGAGCAACTGGGAGAATGGTATTACCATGACTAAAGTGGAGAATATGGCTTTAGAGCTTACCACATTCTAGTGAGGGAGACAGACAGAAAAGTAGATGTTATATAGTAATAAGTGCTGTGAGGAGAAATAAAGTAGAAAAAGGAATAAGGAGTAATGGGGCTGCTTATATTAGATGAGTTGGTCAGATCACGTAAACAAGCTCAGGCCAATGTGCTGGAGGATGAGAAACCACATAGAGCCCAGTAACCCCAGGTGAAGGCTTAGATCAGCCGACCTACAAGCTGACTGAAGACACACAAGAATGCCAGTCAAGACAGTCTTGGCAGGCAGTATCTCTAAGAACTAATATGACGCAGATACTGGTTTTGGTAAACAGGCAGGGTTTCTGTTTGAGCCTGTGCTGATCATAACTGCCCAGCCAGTCACTCAATCCTATCTCTAAAATATATGGGTGGTAGAGAGAAATAGGTTTGAGGAGAAAAAGGTGTAAAGAAGCCATTTTGTCAAATACAATGAGCAAGAATACTACAAAAACTTGCCCTCTAATGTCGTACAGCTTATGAAGCTGATGTACACCAATCTGCACGGTTACCAGTTACTGATTTCCTTCACAATACTTAGCAGCATGCACGTACGCAGAACCGAAGAGCTGGGTTCATCCAGACTGAGATCTTGCTAGGTAAACTGTAGGCCAACTACAGCTTGCATTCCAAATCTGGCACGTGTCTTGTTTTTGTACAGACCAAAAGCTAAAAATTGTTTTAACATTTAGAAAGTGTTGTAGGCCAGGCATGGTGGCTCACACCTGTAATCACAGCACTTTGGGAGGCCAAGATGGGAGGACTGCTTGAACCCAGGAGTTTGAGACCATGCTGGGCAACAAAGCAAAGCTCCACCTCAATTTGAAAAAAAGTGTAGAAAAAAACAAAGATTATGTGACACAGCCTGTGTATGGCCCTAGAGGAAAAGTTTCCCAACTCCTAAAGTAGGTAAATGATGAAAGAAAGAAGGGCAAGTGAGTTGGAGGGTATTGCAAGGAGAGTGATTAAAACATTATCTGGAAAATCATAACTGGACATGAAGGAAAGCAAAGGAGAGTGACTGATAGAGTAGAATCTAAAGATGGTACTTCCCAGTCCTATATTCTAAAAATCCTATTAGATTTCCTTGGAGGCAGCCTAACCTGCTCCACCAAGGCAACGGTTTCTAACATAATCATCACATGAAAGTAAGAGTGAGGTGCTCCCAAGAACCTAAAAATAAGATTAACCTCTCAAAAAGTCTATGTTCCATAGTGACGAGGGCACTGTATTAGATACAGGAGACACAACATAAAATTGAAGAGGCAAAGAAAGTATGTGGGACTATGGGAAACACTTCTTGGCCTCTTTTGAAAGTTTCTTTTCTGTTGCCAGCCAACTTTTCATATTATGTTCCCTAGAATTCTCACTTACGTCTGCTTCTCTTGCTCTACCTCCTCTCTGGAGTATCTCATCCTCCCACAGCCTCAGTACTACTCTGTTTCACAGCAACTCCTAAATCATTTCTCTAGCCCCAATCTTGCCTCCAAGATTCACACTCCAATTTTCAGATGCCCACTGGAAATTTTCCTCCTGATGAGTATCTTCTATTTCATCTGTGATGGTGGGAATGTTGTATACCTTTACAACATTAAAAAAAAAAAAAAGAGTGGATTAGAAACATAACCCAACTAAAAAGAATAAATAAATTAAAAATAAAGAATGTGGTAGCCACTAGCCTCATGTGGCTATTTAAATTAATTAAAACCAAATAAAATTTAAAGTTCAACTCCTAGGTTTTACCAGCCGCATTTTAAGTGCTTAATATCAACATATGGCTAGCAGCTACTATAGCACAACTCCAGGCTGCTTCGTTTCAAACAACTAATTTTCCTCCCCAGACTATTCCTATTCCTATTCCTATTTCTCGCCATGGATATTGGTATCACCATGCATCCAACTCTCATATTGAAAAAAAAAAAAGGTCTGGTCATCCCAGACTTTTCCCTCTCCTTCACAGCCCATCTCCATTTAAATTGTACCCAAATATTGTGTTGTGTACCTCAGAAATCTCCAATCTAGCCCCTTCTCTGGATCCTTATTGTCCCTGTTCTTGTACAGGCCCTTCTGATATCTGGTTTGAGCTACTTGTCAGAGCTTTTTTTTTTTTTCTTTTTTTTGTGTGTGAGACAGGTTTTCACCCAGGCTGGAGTGCAGTGGCGTGATCATGGCTACTGCAGCTTCAAACTCCTGGATTCAAGCGATCCTCCTGCCTAGGCCTCCCAAAGTGCTGGGATTGCAGGCATGAACCACTGCATCAAGACAAGACCTTCTTAAACAGTCTTTTTCTGAGGCTTTCCCTACTCAAAACCTTCTTCTACATTACTACTAGTTGTTTCTTAAGAACAAATCTAATTGTTCCATTCCTACCTTTTTTAAGATTCCTGTTAGTTCCATCCTATTCATCCTTATATCCCTAGCATTTAGAATACTCTTGGACTCTATGTACTCAATGCCTGATGAATAAATGAGTTTTACAAATAGAAAAGCAAAGGGATATCCCCTTGTCCAGGAGAGAACTATTTACCTATTTACAGTGCAGTCATGCAGATAAGCTGGAACCAGCCTACTCCAAGCAAATTGTAGAAGATGCCTAACTTTGCCCCCTTATTACCCAATGTTCTAGAGCAACCACAGTTACAGATTCTACAGGTAGGAATTTGGCCTCAGAGCTTAGCCTAATTTGAACTCCATTTCCTTGCCTCTTGCTTTCTTCAAGGACAGATCCAATGTTATTTACCATCGCCCAATATCTTTGCAGGTAAAATAGGAAACAACTTACCGATTTTCATGACATTGTAACAACTAATCCTACTGTATTTTTTAAAATGGCCATATCCCACAGTTTTCTAATAACTGATTCAGGTTTTGACTAAAAACCAAGAATGAGGAAATAATCATTTATTCAGCACATTTTAAATCTTCTCTGCATGCCTGCTGCTGTGGAGGAAGACAAATATAGTTTAAAGGAAGATATAATCACAATACAACTATTTTCTTCTCCATCCTGTATCTCCTGCCATCACAGAATGCCTTTCTTGTTGAGGATATACCTACAGCCTCGCAGATCATTATTCTCAATTCCAGTCACCTTCAGCTTCACCTGTTTCAATTTCAGTCACCTACTTCCAACAATGCCTACAATTAGGCACTCTCTAATATATATATTTTGTCTTCTTACTCCTGCCCTTGTACCTACTGGAACCCCATTGGAAAATGAATCCCTTGATACTCTCCCTGTTCTCCAAGTATATTGGCCATGTCATAGCTTCACTTCCCTCCCTACTCAGCCTAGGTAACAGAATGCATCAATTCCGCTACTCTCGCCACTCTATCCCTCAATTCCCTTGCCCCTTTGTCCTTTTACTGCTCACATCCAGAACATCCAATCATAAATCCACCCATTTATTCATTTGCTCAGTACAAATACTAAATGAATACTATAGGTCCAACATTAGTTTCTGCTTCTACTTCCAATGTTGAATGCTGGTGGGACAAAAAGAAGTCACAAATCATAGTGTCCCACAAATTCAAATATCCCATCTCAGGTGAGGCCTCAACACTAATCAGCAATTCTTAACCCTCTCTCTGTGCCTTTCAAGGGGCATTTTTTCCACTCCTCCTCATGATCCAACCTTCTCAGAAGATGGCATTCTTCCTACTTCATAGAGCAAGGAGAGGCTTTAGGGCATGTATTACCTCATCTTAATGCATCTACCCACAAATGCTTTTTTGTCTATTTTTACCTCCTGCCATTTTATAGTAAGACTTGCCTTTGCTTGTCCATTGCTAATTTCATTTCTCTGTGCTCTGGACCATCTTTCTCATTCAGGAACTTTGTTTCATTAGTCAACCTTTCCTTCTCAAGGGGCTCTCTTCCAAAAAAGGTTCCTCTCTCCCTCCCATTTTAAGTTTCAAAACAAAAACAAAGCATATCCTTTTTATTTTATACCCCTCTAAACTCTATACTCTTCTAAAGGTGCATCCACACTGAATGCTGAGGAAATCAAGGGTTTTGACACAGGGAAACTCCTCCCTCTCCACTTCCCATTCCTTGCCCCTGTTGGTGGGAATACTGGGAGTCCCAACAGCCTAAACCAGATCACACTTGGGTTCCAGCACCCCAAAGCACCTTCCAAAATTTTTTCTGCATCCAGAGATGTGCTACTGGCTTGCTCAGCATGTCTACATCCTGCACTGGCAGGGGACTGCAATTATTCTTCACAAGGGAAGAATTCCCAGCCAGTGTGGGTTGTCAGCTTGCCTCCTGTAAACCCCTTTGTACACACTGCCCATCTTTACTACAGACTGGATGAGTTAGTGAGGCCTTTTAGATTGGCTAGCCTAGAAATTGGGGAAGACTGAACTCCACTACTTGGACTAGGAGGTAAAAAGTAGTAACAAATTTTCGTGTTGTGAACCTCAGGATCATGATCATGAGTAAGGAAGCATGAATGGTTTAGTTACATTTCTTACATAGATTAAATGACAAGTCACTACACTGAGAACCTGAGGTAAAATAAAATGGCATGGACACTGAATTCAGATGAACATGTTAAAAGAATATACTATTATTCTAAAAGTTTATAGATAGTGGAGCTTCTTGAAAGCAGGCCTTAGCCCATTTTCAAATTCTCCAGGTCCCATTCATTCACCCAGTGTTTTAAGCATGTTGGTTGTCAAGTAGTGAAAGAGTCTAGCAGTACACTGATACATAGTTTCACAGAACTTTCAGACTAGTGGGAGATAAGGCATTTAGTAATCAACTGCTAATTGTGATGAGTGGTCTGAAGGAGCCTGGAGTTGTTTGAAGCAGTTTTGGGGAGGTGGGAAGAGGGCACACTTTTAACAGAAATCTAGTTTAGCCAGGGTGGAGTTCAGTTTCCAGCAGAAACTGCCACGAATGAAAGCTCTCACGTAGTACGGAGCAGCACCTCCATAGCCCTGGAGCAGCCTAGCGTGGCATGAGCCCAAATGAAGTGACAGAAATGCTGAAGATGGGCCAGAGCCTAATTAGGCAGAAATCTATAAACCATATCATGCTGTTGGATTTTTTTGTCTGCTTTTAATATCCTAAGAAAATAGGAAGCTACTGAAGGATTTTAAGAAGCAGATGAAATGAAAATTTAAAAAGATCGGCAGGGCACGGTGGCTCATGCCTGTAATCCCAGCACTTTGGGAGGCAAAAGCGTGCAGATCACCTGAGGTCAGGAGTCCGAGACCAGCCTGGCCAACACGGTGAGACCCCGTCTCTACTAAAAATACAAAAACTAGCCGGGCGTGGTGGTGGGCACCTGTAATCCCAGCTACTCGGGAAGCTGGGATAGGATAATCACTTGAACCCAGGAGGTGGAGCTTGCGTTGCAGTGAGCCAAGACTGTGCCACTGTACTCCAGCCTGGGCGACAGAGTGAGACTGTCTCAAGAGAAAAAAAAATCTTTTCAGTGCTGCATCACAAATGGATGGGGGAAAGGAGCGGGTGCAGACCAACAATGAATGCAAGCTGACCCATTATGGTAGCACAGATGAAAGATCTTGGCTACCCAGATTGGATGTGAATGCTACAGACACAATAGAAATATCATAAAAATCATTAGTGCCAAGGATTTGGCAGCTGAATGAGGGGGGCTGAAGGACAGGGACGAATCAAGACTTGGCAATTTTTGGCTTGAACACCCAAAAGGATGATGTGCCATGTATTGTTTTCATTAAATGTTTAAGGGAAAACATGATGTGAAATTACTATGTGGAATAGTGTTGTTTTTAATACTTAAGAAAAATTACATTGTTAACTACAAAGTAATTTCAAACTTAATGTGTATTTCTTGATCAACTATAGTCTTCCCACAATTTCTCAATGTCTGAGCTTACTTAAAAATTGCCAACATCAATTTTAGATTCTTCTTAGACAATTTTCTACTGTCCTTAGAATAACGGATTCTAAACATGGCCTACCAAGACTGTTCCCACCCTGTCCTTTGTCTAATCCTGCTTTTAGTTCTTGGAATATGCTAGGCTCTTCATCTGCCTTTGGATCCTTTGCCAACAGCAATTCCTCCCCCGTTAATGCTGGCTTGCTTTCTGGATTCAACTATTACGTCCAATCATGATTAGATCCCCATTCACTTGTAAGGGAATTATACTTTCTCCTCAGAGAATGTATGATAGTTTATAATGTTATACTTACATAAATATTTGTCTTAACAGTCCATAAGCACCATCAAGGCAGGGAGCATAACTGCTTTGCTCTATTGATAAAACAGAACCGCCAGGTGCAGTGGCTCATGCCTGTAATCCCAGCACTTTGGGAGGCTGAGGCGGGCGGATCACGGTCAGGGGTTTGAGACCAGTCTGGCCAACATAGTGAAACCCCGCCTCTACTAAAAACACAAAAATTAACCGGACATGGTGGCGCGTGCCTGTAGTCCCAGCTACTCCGGAGGCTGAGGCAGGAGAATCGCTTGAACCCGGGAGGCAGAGGTTGTGGTGAAGTGAGATTGCACCACTGAACTCCAGCCTAGGCAACAGAGCCAGACTCCAACTCAAAAAAAAAAACAACAACAACAACAAAAAAAAAAACCCCAAAACTTAGTGCAGAACCTGCCACATAGTAGGCACTGCAATTTCTACTGAATAAAGAATGAATACAGTAGCAAGGCAAAGGCAAACTGAAGGCTGAATTAAGATTTAACTCAAGCTCCACTGTTCAGTGGCAATCCTACATCAGCATAGATGTAATTTTATCATCCCTAAAACAAGATAAAACATAACCACTTTATATGAAAGAACTACCAATGTAAAAGAAGTATGACAAGGGTTTTTCATGTTTATTTAGCAAGTTAAATGCTGTTTTTACTGATGATAGAAAGCAAATAAGATACTCCTCAAAATCAAAGAAAATAATTAAAACTATAAAGTATTTGTTCACCTGAAGTTCAGTATTTATGACATAATTATGCCCTTAGCTACTTTCAAGATTTTAACTTTACTAAAATAAACTTTAAAAAAAAATACTGCATAGGAAAATGTCTGATTCTTGTTTTAAAGTGTTACTGTTTTATTTTTTTTCTTTTGTTGAATACACATTTGTTTTACTGGCAGTCCAGATAAACAAGTATATAAAGGAAATAGTAAATTTTTATTTTGGCAGAAGATAAACTGTGCAGATTAAAATGCCTCAATTTAACCTGAAGAAATGGTTTTGAATCATATAAATTTTTAAGAAGAAAAATAAAGACTGTCCAAAGGGATTCTCCTAGCTTATAACACATTTCCAGAATAACTCTCAAAAAAAAAAAATTCAAAAATACTCATTGACTACCTTAAAAATATGTCAATACCGTATGGCTTTATGAAATAACTTCTAAAATTTATATAATTTTTCTTATTTAAAAAGGACCCCAAGTTTTAAATAAGCTGCTAGCAGTATCATTTTCTTCACTTAAAAGTGCATATCTTTGAGGGTGGGACATACATTTTGAACAAATAATGATTTTTACAAATTAACACCAAAAAAAAAATCATTTAAAATATTGTAAGGAGGAAGAGAGTTTTCACCAAATGTCATCTTTAAATAGACTGCAGTAGACGACATTCTTCCTTTTTCCTTTTTATAACATCATAATTCTCAATGAAATGCTTTGGCAGTTTTAAGACATATCACAGTCTCTACCAAGACATACTGACATTAATGATGTCCGTGGCGATGGCAATTGCCTTGATGGCTCAGTTTGAAGAGACACAATGTTACTGGGCTGGTTCTCCAAATCAGAAACAAAGGTGCTCTCTTCTCTTACATCGAGAGTTTGTTCAACTGAAGCTGCCAGAGGTGGAATATTATCTACAGTTTTGTTGGCATTATTCAAGTTGTTACTAAGTGTGGCAATATCACATTCCTTGTCCAGCACACCAAATTCAGCTTCTATTGTAACTACATCTTTAGTTTCAAATGGTTCCAAGGAAGGAGCCAAAAACTCATTTTGTAGAGGGTCTTGAGGACCACTATTGTCACATTCTGTATCCTCCTTTACTTCAGAATCCTTATCACTGTCACTGTCAATGGTAATTACAACTGGGGAACGTGAAGCATTATCTCCATGGTGTTTCTTATGCTTCTTCTTATGTTTCTTCTTTTTCTTTTTATGGTGTTTAGTTGTATCAGTAGCTTTTCCTTCATAAACTATCTCTACACTTAGGCTCCGGGTCTTCCTTTTTCTCCTTTTGTGTTTTGTCTCTCTGTCTGATGATCGGCTGTCTGAAAAGGTATCACTCTCATTTTTGTAGTTTCCATCCAATTTTGATGAAGATTTTTGGTAATGACTGTCCTTTGCTTTAGAAGCAAATTCACGAGATGGCTGAGCCACTTCGTTAGTACCCTCCAAATGCCGTGTTTTGTATTTTCGTTTCCCTCCAGGCTTTTCATTTCTCACCCGGTCAGTCCCGGTAGATGCAGTCCTTGATCTGTTACTAGACAGGCTCCTTGATCTGTGCCTTTCATAGTAGTAATACTTCCTCTCACTGTGATTATTTTTTTTCCTAGCATTTGTTCTTTCAGAAAAGGACTGAACTCTAAATTCTGGACTTGAAGACTGTCTAGAATAATGAGCTCTGGACAGAGTCCTCCTCCTGTAAGATGATTCGTACCCATCCCTGTCCTTGTTTCTACTGTAATAAGTATACTCCCATTTGTATCTGCTTCCATAATTATTTCTTAAATAATAACGATCTCTATTTCTGCTCCGTGATCTTCTTTTACCATGATCACTGCTACGAGACCTTGATCTGCTTGTGCTTTCACTACTTAGAGACAGAGTTTGGCTTCTTCTGGACCAACTGCTATCTCTAGTTCTTGATCTCTTTTTGTCTCTTCTCCCTCTAGGTCTGCTACTTTCCCTGCTTCTGGATCGTTTACTTTTCATTCTTTTCTTCCCATGATGCTTTCTATGATTCTTCTGATCATGCCCACTTCTACTCTGAGAACGTGAATCTGAACTTCTTGATCTTCCCCTCTTTCTGTGTCTATGGTTATATGGAGAATATACTCTGTCTCCTCTTACAGATGAGTTCAGGTTTCTGGGAGATGACAATGATGTAGATCGTTTCTCTTCCTTCTTTGATTTGATTCTTGTACTAGAATCACAATGACCTTTATTTATTTGTTCATCCTTTCCAAGGACAGAGTGTGGAGATGAGCATCTACTAACATCGCTATCACCAGAACTGTAAGATTGCTCCTGTTCTTGTGTCTTCACTGTCTCCATTTTCTCATAAGAACCTAAGTCCTCAGAATCAGAGGACAGTTCAACAAGTTCTGGGGTCCTCTCAGCTAGTGGTTTAACAAACCCAACAATGACACAATTATCTGAAGAATCATCACTGTCATTATTTAGGTCGTCATTGGTTTGTACTCCTTGTATCTGAGACGTGGCTCCTCCTGTGACAAGTTCTTCATCTGAACTGTCAGAAGTATTTAAAAGAGAAGACATAGTAACGTGTACCTGCTCTGAGCTTGAGTAAGATGGTCCTGGAGTTTCATCATCCCATGGTGCCTGACTAACAGTGGCTACATTAATATCCAGCTCTTGGGTCTCAGCCTCATCTGGAGATATTGTTATGACTGAAGAATCAGAATGGCTGCCTTCTTCGTATGAAGGAGCAGGGCAATCATAATTGGCATGCTGGTCAAAGGCTGCCATGTTAAAAGGAGATCGGGCAAAACTGATAAATTCATGTATAAAATGCTCAGTTCGATTAAGTAAAAATGGTCTTAAATCAGACACAAATGCCTGACTCTCCAAGTCATAGCGAGTAACATTACTCATGATAATATGCTGGACAATATTCACTAAAGATCCATGAGCTCCAAAAAGAACTGTAAGTTCACGTTTTAACCAGGGGACTAATCTGTGAAGGCAAGCTGGATTTCTACGGAAAAATTCAGCTGAAATATCCCTGTAGCGGCCACCATCTTCAATATTTCTAACTCGAGCACCAGCACGATAAAGAGTTCGTCTAAAATTAATAATATCTTGTTCTTGAATTTTCCGCAAAGATCTTTCATCTGCCGTAGTTGGCCTCCTTACTGCAATCTGTCTCATAAACTGAGGAATTTCAACATCTCTAGGTCTTGTTGAAATGCCTAACCCTTCAAACAGTACTCCACTATCCGGTGGAGTTGTTGTTCTTCTGTTCACAGGACCACTAGGTGAATACACAGAAGCATTTCGTTCCCTTGTCAGAGTTGTACGGTAGCGAAATCGTCGATCAGGGGTGACAAAAGAACCATTATACGAAGGCCTTAGGACATACTCCTTGAAGTCATCTTCTGCCCTCACAGAATGGAAAATAGAATCAAAGGGCTGTTTACATAGTGGGCATTCAGCTTTGTTTTTTGACCACTCCTGTACACAGCGAAAACAGAACTTATGTAAGCAGCGATCTAAGTAAGACACATTATCAAATCTATCCAAGCATATAGGACACTTAGAATCAGGAGATGCATCAGCTGGTACTGTCTGTTGCAATTTGCTAGTGCCAGCTTTAGGTGAAAAGTTGTCCATTTTAAATTCCTTAGCAGCTGATGCCATTATCTGTAAAAGGGAAAGAAATATATCAGTAACCTGATAATAGAGGAATGACTAAATAGTCTCAACAAAAATGCAAATAAAGACCTTGAAACTTATTTTGGTGAAAATACTTAAGTGACCCATTACTTTTGTTTTATTTTATAAAGGGGCACTGTAGCATAGTAATATAGTGCTTAAAGCATAAGCTCTGAAGTCAGATTTCCTAAGACTGAATCCTGGTTCCACACTACCAGCGTGACTATGTGCCAGTTAGTATCTCTGTGCTTTAATTTCATCTGCAGGTCAGTGATAACAGAATCTGCCTTACAGGGTTTGTGAAGATGTAAAAAGCCCTTAGAAAAGGCACCTGCTACATAGTAAAGCTCTCAAATATTATGTAACATTCTATTATTCTTTTTAAAAATAATTTGAGAAATATCTGACATATAAAAAAAAAAAGTACCAAATACCCATGTATCCACCACTTATGTTATGCCCCTTATCTTCCCCTCCTATCACTCTCTAGAAAACAAAAAACAAAAACACCACACTCCTCAGTTGATGTTATTTCTATGCATGGCTTTATACCTTTCATATACATATGCCACTAACAATACAGACTACTGATTTATCTGTGATATTTTGTATGTACTTTTCTAAAACAACTTTGGTGACATAACTTACATACCAGAAAGTTCACCTGTTTAAACCAATCCTATGATTTTTAGTGAAAGATTCTTTTTTCAACCTTAGAAAGCTAATTTTAAAAAGGGAGAGGAAACTTTTAGTGAAGATTAAATAATAAATGAAAAAGCAGCCAAGAGGCAGTGCCTGGCTCACAGTAGGTGCTGAGTAAATGTCAGCTGTTATTATTACTACACTATTATATTCAGTTAATCACTCATTCCATTCAGCATTCCTAATAAGCCTTCCTTTAGCTTTTTTCTTTAATCCAAAAGTCAGGCCACAGAATATCTTGAAATCATGTTTTTGGTCCCCTTCCCTATTATCCTTTCCCATAAGGATGACTAGAATATTAAAGATTAGTTTGTTTTATCAGTTTACATTGGCTCAAAACTTTGCTAGAGCTTGAAATCTAGTATGCGTTTTGACTTTATCTCATAAACTCCAAAGCTGCATTTTATACTAATCATTTTGAGTATATTGACTATTGGGGAGTCAGGCGCGGTGGCTCATGCCTGTAATCCAGCACTTTGGGAGGCCAAGGCAGGCAGATCACCTGAGGTCAGGAGTTCAAGACCAGCCTGGCCAACGTTGTGAAACCTTGTCTCTACTAAGAATACAAAAATTAGCCGGGCATGGTGGCAGGCACCTGTAATCCCAGCTACTTGGGAGGCTGAGACAGGAGAATCGCTTGAACCCAGGAGGCAGAGGTTGCAGTGAGCTGAGACTGCACCATTGCAGTGGGTGACAAGAGTGAAACTCTGTCTCAAAACAAATAAACAAACAACAACAAAAAACTACTAGGCCCTTGGTTTCCCAGGGCCTAATATTCATCTTCCTCCACCTCCTTTATCACAGGAGGTTCCATCACTAGTCAACTGGGGTCAAGTTAATCAAATAACAGAATTGTAATTTTCTAAATAGACTCATTGGCCTTAACAAACTATAAGAAAAACCAATAAACAAAACCCACAACAAAAACTCATGACTGAAATACAAGTATTCCACCATAGCTTTCATATTAAACCTGCTCACTTTAGGGCATCTTGGCTTTCTCAGAACCATAACTTAATAGAGAATCAATTAATGCTAAATAAGCGTTTCTTCAGGGGTCCAGGTATGTCTAGTCTTCTATTTACTGGACTGAAAATGCAAAAACATCATCACTGTCCTGGAAGGTCTGGAAAAGCAGGATTATAAATACATAATACTGCTTTTTTGTTCATAAACAGTCTAAAACCCTAATACTGCACAACCTTCTCAGCATTTCCCTCTACTTTTAACATTTTTTAATCTGCCTACTCAAGAAATTTAAAGAAACACACACATAAAAATAAAAACCTTTCAGTTCAGAGACTGTGTGTGTGGTAGAGGGAAGGAACAGAGAAAAGTTGGGAGGGAATCAAAGAGGTTATCAAAAGATCTGGACTGAAGACCAGGCTTCACCTAGAACTAGCTCTAGTTAATGTGAAGAAAACCACATTACTCTAGACTTTAGTTTTCTCCTCTATATAATGAAGGGATTACTGGACTTGGAAAAAAGACCCGTGAATTCCAAGTTAATACATTTTATCTTCACTTAGTTCTCTGAAATAGAATTTTAGTGTTTTCTGAACACTTCCAGTTCACATAAAAATTACAGCTGAAAATGAATTTATTAAAGGGAATTATTAGGTAGTAAACTTGAAGTTCAAATAAAATAAAATCTCAACAAAGTATGATTTTTTTAAAAAAATGAAACCTTACCCTTCCCTTCTCTAGTTTTATAAGCCTGTTAACCACTTTGACAGTAAAAGGTGAATGAATGACTGGTAATGTCCTCCATAACAGGTTAAAAAATAATAATAAATTAGAATTCATTCTTGTATTTCTACACAGGAATCATTAGCTGAAAAGAATAATCTTAGCCGGGCATGATGGGCACACCTGTAGTCCCAGCTACTCAGGAGGCTGAGGCAGGAGGATTAACTGAGCCTGGGAGGTCCAGGCTGCAGTGAGCCATAATTGCACCACCTCACTCCAGCCTGGGTGACAGAATGAGACCCTGTTTCAAAACAAACAAACAAACAAACAAACAGTCTTCATCAGAAACATCAAAGAGGCGGGGCACGGTGGCTCACGCCTGTAATCCCATCACTTTGGGAAGCCAAGGCAGGAGACCCTTGAGGCCAGGAATTTGAAACAGCCTAGGCAACAAAGCGAGATCCAGTCTCTATTTTAAAAAAGAAAAAGAAACATCAAACAATTGGAATGCATGTAGATCAAATAAGTTATTAGCTCTTCAAAATCATCACTAAATACTAAATTAAAATGTTTTTTAAAACGCAAATGAAGTCGAACATATGACCCGGCAATTACACACCTAGATATACCCAAGGGAAACGAAAACTTGTCCACACAAAAAAACTGTATATGAATATTCACAGCAACTTTAGTCATAATACCTCAAAAGGAGAAACTCAAATACCCATCAATTGATTAACAGACTAATAAAATGTGGTCTATCCACACTATGGAATTTTATTTGGCAATAAAAAGGAACAAAGTACTGGTACCATGTTGTAACATGGATGAAACTTTTTATTATGCTAAATGAATGAAAAAAAAAATTCACAAGAACCCACATATTGTATGATACCTTTTATATGAAATGTCCAGAATAGGCAAATCTAGAGAGATGAAATGAGGCTGGTGGCTGCTGCTGGGGCAGTAAAGAGGTTTATTTCTGGGGTGATGAAAACGTTCTACAATTAATTATTGTGATGGTTGTACAACTCTGTAAATATACTAAAAAATCATTGACCTACAAACTTTAAACGGGTGAACTTTATGGATGGAATGTAATCTTTTATTTTATTTTTTTGAGACAGAGTCTTGCTGTGTCGCCCAGGCTGGAATGCAGTGGCGCGATCGTGGCTCACTGCAAGCTCCGCCTCCCGGGTTCACACCATTCTCCTGCCTCAGCCTTCCCAGTAGTAGCTGGGATTACAGGCGCCCGCCACCACGCTCGGCATTTTTTTTTTTTTTTTTTTTTTTTGTATTTTTAGTAGAGACGGGGTTTCACCGTGTTAGCCAGGATGGTCTCGATCTCCTGACCTTGAGATCCGCCCGTCTCGGCCTCCCAAAGTGCTGGGATTACAGGCGTAAGCCACCGCGCCCAGCCCGGAATGTAATCTTAACAAAGCTGTTTAAAAATACAAATTAAGGCATAAAAACTGGGATGACTAGATACAGATTAAGAGTGGTTGATTTGCTGGCCGGGCGCGGTGGCTCACGCCTGTAATCTCAACACTTTGGGAGGCTGAGGCGGGCAGATCACCTGAGGTCGGGAGTTCGAGACCAGCCTGACCAACATGGAGAAACCCGGTCTCTACTAAAAACACAAAAATTCGCCGGGCGTGGTGGCGCATGCCTGGAATCCCAGCTACTCGGGAGGCTGAAGCAGGAGAATCACTTGAACCCCCGGGAGGCGGAGGTTGCAGTGAGCCGAGATTACGCCACTGCACTCCAACCTGGGCAACAAGAGCGAAACTCTGCCTCACACACAAACACACACACACACACAAAAGAGTGGCTGATCTGCAAGAGACGTTCTGAATTTAAGTAGCAAAGGTAGACCCGATGAAAAACACAGTGCTTCAGGTTCTGTAAGAAGCCTGTGTTACGGGTTTTCCATCCTAGCACTCTAGGAATTAGGACATTTCCTCACAGGAGACAATCAGTTCTTCCAGTCACACTTCCTAAACTGTCTCCCAAATCCTAAATGAAGTTCACCATCTTTAGTATAAACTGATTAAGCCAAAACTTCCCTTTCCCGAAAAATCCTCAAATCTGGCTTTAACAAGGATAATAACAATTCGGGGAAATTTCAGCTAATTAATATGGACACACGTCTAGGGAAAATGGATGGGGGAGATAAAGAATCAGGAAGCTCGAATCTACATTTCAGGAGACTGGATATTTGAAAAACTGCACAATGATATAAACGAAGTATAACTGCTCTGTAGAATTAAAGTTAGACTTACTACAAAAGTCATCTATGGCCGGGCGTGGTGGCTCATGCCTGTAATCCCAGCACTTTGGGAGGCCGAGGTGAGCGGATCACAAGGTCAGGAGATCGAGACCATCCTGGCTAACACGGTGAAACCGTCTCTACTAAAAATACAAAAAATTAGCTGGGCGTAGCGACGGGCGCCTGTAGTCCCAGCTAGTCGGGAGACTGAGGCAGGGGAATGGCGTGAACCTGGCAGGCGGAGCTTGCAGTGAGCCGAGACTGCGCCACTGCACTCCAGCCTGGGCGAAAGAGCAAGACTCCGTCTCAAAAAAAATAAATCAATAAAAATCAAAAGTCATCTATGGCATACACTGTATATAAAATTTAATCATCTGCTGATTACATTTGCGGGAGTGATGTTAATTTTGCTGCAGAGCCAAGGCTGAGAATCGCCACCACTTAGTAGGTGTGTAACCTGGAGGAAGTTTTTTCTCAAAATCTCACGTTTTCTCAATTCTAAAATGGAATTGAAAAGGTGGTTGTGTGACGGGACATATTTCATAAAAACCCTTAGCACAGTGCTTGATGCACAGTAAGAACTCAACAATGTTCTCTATGTTACGTGAACACGAAGTGAATTTCGGTAGCTCATCACCCATAACTGATTATATGGGTCCAGACAGAGGATAGTTTATAACAACAAAATAATCATCATACTTAATATAATTATTATACTTAATATTTCTAGGCAAAGTGACTAAAAAGGGTTCACGAATAGATGAAATAGAAAGATCACCCAAGTATTAAAAATAAACTGGTTCCTACCTCTTGCCACCTTAAAGAAATCACTGTACCTCTCTGAACTGCATTTAATCAACTCCAAAAGAAGATACAAAAGTCACAGGATCTCAGTAGATCCTATCAAATTTATCCAGATCCTATCAAATTTAATCCAATTCCAGCAAAAAGAATTGGCTGGGAACCGTTCGCCTCTAAAACCACTCATTCCAGACAAGTATGATTGATTTTAGCTGATTGTATAGCTTTCTTTGCATTTCATGGACAAAACCCAGAAAGCTCTCACCACTATTAACTTAAATCTTGGGCAGCTGTTTCTTAATTTATCTTAAATAATCTTGAAAATTACCTATCAAAAGGTCTACTCCGTTTTCCTCTTAAATCACTATGTGGCTCATCTCAGCACTGCCCCCTTCCAGCCTACAATCAGCAACCCATGAGGAAAGCTGCAGTAAATGGATGGATGAACAAGTCACGGGCAATTTCTGCTCAGAATGTTTAACACAACACAGACAAGTCCCAACTCCCAAAGCCACGGTGATAGTCGTTTACTTTGGTTCAGAACTGCCACTAGACTAAGATAAGCACCATGAGCATTACATAACCACAACGAACTTAAATATTGTTATTCCCATTTTACAGACAGGCTCAGGGATTTAAGGGACCTAGGCAAGGTCACATATCCTGTAAGTGGTGACGCCACGATTCAGTCTCATTGCTTTTTTGCTTTTCCCTGAGACCAAGCTCTTTCCAGTACACGGCCAGGCTCGCGCCCCTCGGGAGCGCTTGTGGGAAGCGCAACCCTCGCCTGCCCGCACCAATCCACAGGTGCGCGCAGGAGCCGCTCGGGGGCCCTGGCCCTGGCCCGCCGAGGCCCGGACAGCCCCGCAGGCCATGACCGCAACCCTCGGGTCCCGAGGCGCCGCTCCAGGCGGGAGCGCCAACTCCCACGGCCCTTCCGACCCCCGCGTCCCATTGTTCCGAATCTCACTCACCTCGGAGGATGCCGGCGCAGGCCTGGCTGGGGCGCTCGCCGCGAGCTCCCGGCAGCCCAGAAAGCTAGGTCGGTGTCGGCAGGATCCGCGAAGGCGTACCCGGCGACTTCTCCGCCTACCCTCCGAAGCGGGAGCAGGCGGGGGCGCTTCACCCTCCTCGCGAGACAGCGGAGACCCCAGCGGCGGCTGCGACCCCTGTGACGCAAAGGGCTCATCACCAATGGCAGCTCGGAAGCAGGGCAGAGAGCGAGACCCACCCCCCAGCTCCCGCGCATCAAAACACAACACCCGCCTTCCTCACGCATGCGCAGCAGATGGACGCCGGCCTCGGGGGCGGGGCTCAGCGCACCGGCCCAAATGCGGCCCCTCCCCCGCCGCTCCAGACCCCGGAGGAGGGCAGCGCGACCCTCCCCATCTTGTTACTGGTACTCAGCCACTGGGGACACTGACTGAATGTTCGCCCCTAACTTACCCGGAAAACACGAGAACTAGTTCGATGTCGTTTCAACCTTACCAAACTCTGCGGAAACTTAGGAAATTATCTTTAGTGTCTAGATAGGGGAATTGTTAGATGGACTTGAAGTCTCTCACCTCCTGTTGTACGCCTCCCGGAAGCAACACCAGGAGTCCAACGGGATCCCAAACCAGAGCCCAACCAGTATCCTATAAAGTCTTCAGAGAGGGATCCCCTCCAGGCTGGGGAGAAACAGGACAACCTAACAAAACAGGGCCTGGACTCCTCCCTAAACAGACCACGTTTTTCTCCGCTCTTCCCCTTCCCACTCCCTGAAATCTAGACTAAAACTCTTTTAAGATAACTGCGAGGTATAAAGAACGTCTAGAGCCTAAGCGGCCCGTTGCCAGATTCTACTCCTCAGGCCTCAAATGTGAGCGCCCCAAACATTCTAGAGCTGAACCTGGTACGCTCGCCCACCAAACTGCCGTGCTCGGGGCTTAGTATCTCACGCGCGGCAGTTCAAGAACATCAGACACGCTCAACAAACACTTGTTGCTTGACTGATACATTATGGCGGGTAACGCGTCCCACGTATTTCTTCTTAGAGATATACATTACGCTATACGTTTCTGAAGAATGGCTCGATTTACAGGGGTTCCCACAACGATTTGTCACATATAAAAGAGTGGGTGGTATTTTTACGTCAAAGATGAACAGGCGAACGTCCATCTAAATCGTGTGGTATCAGATGCGGGGAGGCGTGGGGGAGGGAGCGGGGGAGAAAGCGTTAATTCTTCCAGCTTTAGAGCCAGACGTAATATTTAAAACGTGGATTGTTTTTCAAATTAACTTTTAAATGGACACGACAGCACCTTATCCTGCATTAATATTGCATTGCAACTAGAAAGAAAACCAGTGGAGGTACGCCTATCTCCTTAGTTGGCAAAAAAAAAAAAAAAAAAGCAATTTTTAACATTTTCTCGTTTATTCCCCTCTCTAAAAGGCGGGCAAGGCCCCCGATCACGTGATACCGCCCCCCAACTCCGGGCGGAAGAGGCCAGCGACAGCGCTGCACGAAGCGAGTGGGCGGGCGCTCGTGCCCGGCTAAAAGATGGCTGCTGGCGCCTGGCAGCCACCGCCTGGGAGGTTACTGTAAGGCCCGCAGCTCCCGCCAGCTCCCGCGGACTGCTGCCGCCTCCTTACCATGAAGCCAGTAAGTCGTCGCACGCTGGACTGGATTTATTCAGTGGTAAGTCCCGGGGATCGCGGGCCCCCACCGTGTCGACTCACTGGGCCCGCAGGCGGAAAGGCCCTATTTCTTCAGCACCCAGAAACTCCAAAATCCATTCCTGAATTAAGCATTTCACTCCCTCACCTCGACTCCGCCTCTTCCTGGAGGATACGATCTTCCGCTTCTTACGTAAGGGCTGCTGGGTGTACCCGCCACTGGAACCCCATTTATTCGACTTTGTTACTTTAATTCCCACCTTAGCAATGGCAACGGTAACCTGACGGGGGCGAGGGGAAATATCAGGTAGATTTCACACCTCCTTTGCGATTTTTGGTTTAGTTGCTGCTTGCCATCGTTTTAATCTCCTGGGGCTGCATCATCTATGCTTCGATGGTGTCTGCAAGACGACAGCTAAGGAAGAAATACCCAGACAAAATCTTTGGGACGAATGAAAATTTGTAACTCTTCTGGATTTAATTATCTGAAAATACAGTTCTTTCCCTCATGCTTATGTAGATATAAAAATAAAATTCATAATGCAAAGTTCCCAAGTTTATTTTTGCATTATCCTTTATAACAAGCACTAGTATGCAAATTTTTCACTTAGAGATTTTAGTATTTTACATTCTCATGACAAAATTAACAGCAACCTAAATCTGACAGTCTTGAGTGTCAGATCATAGTTGGAATAAGCTTTTCAATCAAGTTTCTAAATTCTTCAAAAATGATTCGGAAAGCTTTTTTTTTTTTTGAGACGGAGTCTTGCTCTGTCGCCCAGGCTCAGTGGCACTATCTCGGCTTACTGCAAGCTCCGCCTTCTGGGTTCACACCAATCTCGTGCCTCAGCCTCCGCAGTAGCTGGGACTACAGGAGCCCGCCACCACGCCCGGCTAATTTTTTTGTATTTTTAGTAGGGACGGGGTTTCACTGTGTTAGCCATGATGGTCTCGATCTCCTGACTTCGTGATCTGCCCGCCTCGGCCTCCCAAAGTGCTGGGATTACAGGCATGAGCCACTGCGCCTGGCCGGAAAGATTTCCTTAAAACAAAAGTGCATGGAATTGCTGTTCTTACATTTGTTTATTGTGATATTTCACTGTTGCATACCCTGATACCAAATTAGTGTAAGTACTGTGTAAGAAAAAAACAAACAAACATGTAACTAAATACTTTTCCATACCGTTTTCCAAGTCAAGAATGACCAGAAAAAGTAGGTAGTCTCTCATATTTGTTTAGCATGTCCACTTTTTACTTATTGTTAAATTACTCAGTCTCAAATTGTACAATGCTTGAAAACAGATATGACAATTTCTGAGATTAAACTTTATTAAAGTTACTTTTCCAGAAAATTCAGTAAATATGGTAATATAGGAACAAACTTAGGCTCATAAGCCTTTTAACTTTTTACATAATCTTTAATGATGTTGATCAGGAAATTCTTTCATTGGTGGAATTACTTCTCCAGTCTCCAGAATTGTATCACCCTAGGAAAACAAAGATACAGTTAGTACAAAAATCTTAAGTCTACAGAGGTGATAGTTCTATTCTGTTCTATGTTCATCAGATCTCACATGGAAAATGTACTTGAGTTCTGGCATTCCCTTTAAAAGGACCCTAGACAAAGTAGAAGCTGACTAAATCTGAACAATCAGTATTCAAAATTTTAAGGTATAGTGAAATAATAGGGAAATTTTCACTCAGAAACAAAATAATCAAAAAGGGCACGAAAATTGTGTTCTCTAAGTGATAAAGGGATAATCTTTTATTTTGTATGACCCCAATAAATGGAGGCCCCAGAAAGAAGTTGCAAGGAAACATCTGCAGTTCCAGATAAGGAGGTAATGTACCCCCAGCAACTGAATGTGTTACGCAATCACCAGTTTTCTGATTGGCTTACATACTGAATACAGAATACAAACTTTGGCTAGGCAGCTGGTCCAGATGTCTTTTCAATTCTTGATATAGATGTGGGCAAAAAGGCATGGGCATTGAAGCCAGAACCAAGTGGTAAGAATCTTGGAACCTCCACTGACAAGCTGTATAGTTTTAAGACAGATTATTCAATTTCAGTTTCAGCCATGTGTTTAAGATAGATTCTGTTAGCCTGCCAGTCCCTGAATGACTGGGAAGAGTAGAATTGTCCCCATACCCACCCCAATCCCTGCCATTCCCTGACCTGGTACTGCTCAGGATTATAGTCCAATGAAAAAATAAATATGTTTATGCCATTATACATTTGGGCAACAATTTGTTAGTACAGCTAGCATTATCCCAATAGAAATCATTGCCTTGAAGTGGCACTAATGCTGCTGTAATAAAAATCAAGCTATAGGGCACTGGCTTAGCAGTCTGGTAGCAAAGATAAAGATGGAAACAAAAGGCAGTGGCAAACTATTTAGCAAAATATCTCCTATAACTTGGAAGCTGACTGCCTAATGAACTTGAGGTTCTAGAAGAAGTAGCTGGGAAAAAAAGTTATAGTATGTGTTTGGATCCTTGGGATCCTTGGATGCCTTGGGAATGTACTTTAAGAAGCATGAGCTCAGGCAAAAAGTGGCTGATTTGAGAGGCGACATAAAAATGGAGAGGACGAGAGAACACTTTGGTGCACGCTAGAGACTTTCTGTTCCTGACCAAAAAAAAAAAAAGTTAATAGAATCTAAAAATTTGGGCCAGTCATGGTGGCTCATGCCTGTAATCCCAGCACTTTGGGAGTCCAAGGCAGGAGGATTGCTTGAGGCCCAGAGTTCAAAACCAGCCTGAGCAAGAGTAGGACCCTGTATCTAAAAAATAAATAAAAAATCAGGACCTTGTGGTATTGAAAAATCACACTACTTCAGAATTCCTAAACAATAAGTTAACACAAGAAATCTGAGCAACAGAAGCCCAATAAAACTCAAACAGAGGGACACAGCCCTATGGCAAAGATCAGTTTAAAATGAAGGTAGCCTTTGAACCAGTCTGCCTCAGATGGCCTCCACATAGCTGCCACAGAGGTGAGAGAGGCAGATGCATAAGGACAAAGAAATGAGACAAGCTGGTAACTGTGTATAGGAAAAACAGATACTGGCATGAGACACTGACTAGAAGTAAACACATTAGATGTCTACCAAATATTTTTCTTTTCATGCTTCTAAATGTTAAGGGAAATGGATGGACAAACCAAACATATAGTTTACAGAATCCTGCCAGAATGTTTGAAATTAAAACAACCTCTGGCATTCAACCTCCTGCAAGCAGGTGGCAGATTCTGAAGCCCATACAGCCCCCTAAGGAGGGCATGCTTCCCAATACCATTTAGATGTGGTCTAGGTAGATAATGAAAAGAACAAACCCCCTGGACAGAGCCAGGAACCAGGAAGAACGATGGATAAAGGTGTTCTTTCAAGAAAACAAAATCAGTGCCCATTCAAGTAATTTCTCACACACGGGTTAGGAGTGAGATTTCAGGATTGCCAAGAACCAGTGACTACTATGCTATCCAAATTCTACCACTGAACAATGGGTGTGGTTGGGGGACAAGGATACAGTTAACTTGTCTTCTTAGTTCACTGATCCTCAGATCAACAGAAGTCATATATAAACCTGACATACTATTTTACATCATCTGGAGATCATGGATTTGGGGCCGGGGTGCAATGATGGAATGGGACTTTGGGATTTCTCCCTAAGGAGAGAGACTAAGTGTGTTATGCATGGGTAAAGAAAGAAGCCAAGAGCTGTTTGGTGACTAGAAAGATGGAATGTAGCAGAAACTCCATGAACAGGGGTCTGGGAAATAGCAAAGAGCACACAGATAATATTTGGGAAGATGACAGTGAGTTTTAGCTAACAGAATTTGAGCAGAAGTGATGTAAGCTACTTCTAAGCTTAGATCCTAAAAATCATCCCCTGAGACATCCTGCCGTATCTTTGTATCACAATCTTGGAACCTCATATTCGATAGGCACGGCTGTAAGATTGAGGAAGATCACCTGATTCACAGTAGTCTGTGATGTCAACAAGAAATAAACCTCTGTTTTGTTAAGCCATTGAGATTTGGAAGTTTGTTATTACTTGTCCTATTCTAAACATATATACAATGAGCATTCTTCAGTTCCTCAAAGGGGTCATGGCACAGAAACAAGAAAGAACCACAGTGGCAAAAAATACAGAAATATGAGAAATGCTACAGGATCCCTGATATGGTCTTCTGAATAGAGCTCTCCTTTTCCTTTGAACAGTAAATGGCAAAATAAATTAACATTTAAATGGAATAAATGGAAGACTAAATAAATATAAATTGCCCAGCTGGAAAAACCAGCAAGATAATTTCCTATTTTGAGACTACCTAGGCTGTAACACACATCAATGTTACACAATAAAACAAAAGGAGAAATCCCCTACTTTTTTTTTTTTTTTTTTTTTTTTTTGAGGCAGGGTGCTCTGTCGCTAAGGCTGGAGTGCAGTGGCGCAATCTTGGCTCACTGCAACCTCTGCCTCCCAGGTTCAGGCAATTCTTGTGCCTCAGCCTCCCCGGTAGCTAGGATTACAGGCGTGCACCACCATGCCCAGCTAATTTTTGTATTTTTATTAATAGTAGAGATGGAGTTTCACCATGTTGGCCAGGCTGGTCTCAAAATCCTGACCTCAGGTGATCCACCTGCCTCTGCCTCCCAAAGTGCTGGCATTACAGGTGTTAGCCACCGCGCCTGGCCCCCACTTTTTTTTTTTTTTTTTCCCGAGACAGAGTCTCACTCTGTGACCCAGGCTGGAGTGCAGTGGCGCAAACTCCGCACACTGCAACTTCTGCCTTCCAGGTTCAAGCAATTCTTGTGCCTCAGCCTCCAGGTAGCTGGGATTACAGGCGTGCACCACCACACCTGGCTAATTTTTGTATTTTTTTTTTAGTACAGATGGTGTTTCACCATGTTGGCCAGGCTGGTCTCGAACCCCTAGCCTCAAGGGATCCACCCACCTCGGCTTCCCATAGTGCTGTAATTACAGGCATGAGCCCCCGATACCCCCTACTTTTTTTTTTCCTTTTTCCTTTTTTTTTGAGATGGAGTTTCACTCATTTCTGAGGCTGGAGTGCAGTGCCACGATCTCAGCTCACTGCAACCTCCGCCTTCCAGTTTCAAGCAATTTTCCTGCCTCAGCATCCTCAGTAGCTGGGATTACAGGTGCCCGCCACCACGCACGGTAATTTTTGTATTTTTAGTAGAGACGGGGTTTCACCATGTTGGCCAGGCTGGTCTCGAAGTTCTGACCTTGTGATCCACCCACCTTGGCCTCCCAAAGTGCTGGGATTACACGCGTGAGCCACCGCGCCTGGCCCCTCCCCCAACTATTTCTTAAACCAGCGTTCCAACTGGGACCGCTGGCCAGTTTTGGTGGCCCTTCCTAAAATTCCCCTGTTGCAACAGATAATCATTACTGTGACTAAGTCATTTGATTAAAGCAAGAATCACACTTTTGTTATTTAAATTGTGTACTTTTGAGTTATGATAGTTCATTATCTGTGACTAGAAATAGACAAGAACATAGTATGTATTCTACTATGCTAAACAATAACCTCACAAACAGCTAGTAAATACCAACTGACTACTGAGTCACCTTTTAATGCTAAAATAACTCATTTCAAATTAGTACTATAGCTCACACATTCATAGTATACATTTTTTTTTTTTGAGACGGAGTCTCGCTCTGTCACCCAGGCTGGAGTGCAGTGGCGCAACCTCGGCTCACTGCAAGCTCCACCTCCCAGGTTCACGCCATTCTCCTGCCTCAGCCTCTCGAGTAGCTGGGACTACAGGCGCCCGCCACCACGCCCAGCTAATTTTTTGTATTTTCAGTAGAGACGGGGTTTCACCGTGTTAGCCAGAATGGTCTCGATCTCCTGACCTCACGATCCACCCATCTTGGCCTCCCAAAGTGCTGGGATTACAGGCATGAGCCACTGTGCCTGGCCCATAGTATAAAATTTAAAACACCCATTAGTGGATATTAAATTCACAGATGGAGAACTTAAGGTCAAATCTTGAAAATGAGGTACAAAGCCATAGGACATGAGAGTTTGGAATTAATAACAGAAATTCAGTTGCTGTCACCATGCATGGATGTTTGCTTAGGCTCATGCCCTAAGCTCTTTACCCAACATGAAACAGGACACAGTGAAAAACTTTTGGTACTTTCAACTCCCTTTAGGAAAATCAAGGTCACAAAACACGTTTTACAGCCAGGTTGAAAATAAATGTGCTCACTTCCCATTTGAACTGTAATTGTTACCTCACGGTATTTCTTCCTGTTTTTTTTTGTTTTGTTTTGTTTTTTACAAGAATACACAAAACAGGGACTTAAACCGAAAGTGAGAAGGAAAGAACATTTTAATCTAATAATTGCTTGGAAAGGGAGGAAAAGGAAAGAGAAAAACAATAAACAAAAGAAAAATCAGAAGTGTTAAGACTTACAGGGAATATTCTGGACTTCTTTTCAACTATGCCATATGGTTTTTCCTGTAATAAAAGTTAACTCTGTGTTAATTATGGTGTTAAGAGTTTCTTCTGAAAATAAGAAATAGGTCATACCCCAAATTTTAACTTAAGCTCCAAACTTTCACAGAACTCCAGATTCACATATCCAACTGTTTACTCAACATCTCTACTTAGCTATCAAACAGGCATCTCAAACTTAACCAGGTCCCACACTTAACTTCTCCCATCCCCAAACTGTTCCTCCCCATGTCCCCCATCTCAGTAAATGACACTCTTATTCCCCCAGTTATGAAAGACAGAAACCTTGACTCCTCAGCAGAGCCTGTTAATTCTATCTTAAGAATATACCCTGAATCCAACTGGTTCTCATCACCAGCCTTGTCCAAGCCTCTATCATATTTTCACCTCAACTACCACAACAGCACCTACTAGCCTCCCTGCTTCCACTTGTGCCCTCCTATGCAAATGAAAAGTCTATTCTCCACACTTCAAGGCAGAGTACACTGATTCTTTTAAGATATGTCACTCTGCTCAAAGTTTCATAATTCTTAGAGAAAAAGCCAGTCTTTTCTCCCTCACTTACTCTACTACAGCCACAGTGGCTCCATTCCTAGGAGTCCAATTCAGTCAAGCCTGCTTGTGCCTCAAGGCCTCTGTACTTCATGATTCCTCTACCTGAAATGCTCTTCTCCTAAATACTGCTTGACCTGTATCTTCATTTCATTTATGTTTGTCTTCAAAGATCACTTCCTCAGAGAGGCCTAATTAAAATAGCAAGCCTTATCATTCTCTAGTTTTTACCCTGCTTAATTTTTCTTCTATAGACTTGTTCTCCTATAACATTAATATACCTCTTTGTTTATATATTTATTACCAGTCTCTAAAACTAAACATTTCATGAGGGGAGGGACTCAATCTGCTCTGTTCACTGCTGTATCCTGGTCTTTAAAACAATGCCTTGCACATAAGAGGTACTACATAAGTAATTGTTGAATACATGTACTTTTTATGCATATACATCTGCACAAGATACCACTGCCCAAAATTTAAAAGATTATTGGCATGATATGAGGCATAGAGAACTGGAACATGAGAGAAACTCAGAATACAATGTGAGCACTTTAAAATGTCTTTACGTGCTAAAAGGCAAAAAGACACTGAAAAGTCATCTGAGAGATGCAGAATTCAATTAGGCAGCAAAGGAGTGAGCTGAAGCAAACTGGTTGCAATCTTATTGAAGATGCAATCCTTTACCTACCAAAATCAAGAGAAAAAGTAAGGTAAGTGAGTGGCTCTGGGACCTCTACTGACACAAAATGTTTAACTAAATATGTCCATCTATGGCTCAGGAAAAATCACCTGGAAGTGTGAACCCTCAGATAAGCAACCACATTACTGTATTAAATTGTCAACCTAGTGACTGCAGTTTGTTAAATTTGCTTCTCTTAGAAATGTCTTTTCGATCCCAGAAAAATGTAGTTAAATTTAGATATGATAAAGTAAGTTAAACCCAGAGTATAAATAAGTGAATGTGTCAACTTTTAAAAGTTCTGAAAACATTGCTACATTCCATACATTCTGTTGATCAGAGTTTGTAATGTGTAAGATAATCTGGCTAACAGAGGTTTTAAAAAATTAGGTTTAGGATTCTAGTTAAAATGCATAATTGATTTGTGATTCTAGGTTGAAAAAAATTACTTCTTAGAATCATAAATTTACCATATAAATACTTCGAAATAAAATTGAACACACAAAATGTATAAATACAATTTAAAATATTTAACAGAATTTAGCTATGTTTGTAAATGGAATTGTTTCAGAAGAGTTCAACTTCAATTAATCCAAAGATAGTAAAAACAAAGGAGATTATTCTTATTTTACTAGATGCATAGTTTAATAGAATTTTAAAACTGAATTTAAAGAATTAGGAAAAAAATATGTTTTTATATTTGAAACTCAAGAACCATACATTAATCTGGATTTTAAGTCACTGTAACCAGTTCTTTCTGCACATAAAAATCACTCTTGGATGTTAAACTTTCACTGACAGAAAGTAATATATTTTCTTCTCTAGGGTCTTACATGCCAAAATAGTGAAAACATAACAGATGTATAATGAAATGAAGTAGCCTTTTTATGAACATAAACTTTTTTAAAGCCCATCAACAACAGAAATACAAACTATTCTCTCACCCTTAGATATACAAATTGTTAGCCCTTTTTAATAGTTGTAGAGAGAGTTTGTGTTGGTTTGTAATGTGAAAATCCCCTAACCCAACTCTAATTCCTCTTAGAACTAACAATCTCATGTTTCTAACACATAAGACAGGCCATGTCCACTTGGACATCTCCAAAACTGCCATGGCAGCACACGCTCCTAAAAAATTCACTATTTTCTTTTTTTTTTTTTGAGACAGAGTCTCGTTATATCGCTCAGGCTGGAGAGTGCGGTGGCCCAATCTCGACTCACTGCAACTTCTGCCTCCTGGTTTCCAGCAATTCTTCTGCCTCAGCCTTCTGAGTAGCTGGGATTACAGGCACATGCCACCAAGCCCAGCTAATTTTTTTGTATTTTAGTAGAGATGGGGTTTCACCATGTTGCCCAGGCTGGTCTCGAACCTCTGAGCTCAAGCAATCCACCCGCCTCAGCCTCCCAAAGTGCCAGGATTACAAGCATGAGCCACCACACCCAGTCTAAAATATTCACTTCTATCCCATCATCAGAAAGCCCTCCCTTCCAATACCCTACTTGTAATTTCCAAGGCTAGAGATTTTGCAGTCATAAATGACTGTGAACTTTGGTTTTATCCCCAACTTAATCAACCACCAACTTCAGGTGTTTCTTCCTTTAGAAGTGTCTCTGGCTTTATTTTTCTTCTTCATCCCTGCTATCTTCACCCTAACCAGATTCTCAACTGACATCTACTAAAACGCAATGGCCTCCAGCTGATCTGCCCTGCTGTCAGAACTTTCTTCCCTTCAATTCACCATCCATTTCAATGTTTTTCTTTGTTTTCCTCAATGTATCACATTCATCAAGTCACTCTCCCATTAAAAAATGGAAAGCTTCCCATTGCCTATCACATGCAGTTCAACTTCTTCTATCTAACTTTCAACACCTTCCATAAATTGGTCCCAGGCTACCTAGTCAACAGACCTTCCATTCTAGTCAGCTCCTCAGTCTTAGGTACATACGGCCACGTTCATTACTGACTCCATATGTTTGCTTCTAACAGGAATTAACTTTTTTCCTCCGTACTCTTTCCCAAATTATACCTATCTTCCAACTTTACTATAAAGTCTTTGAGGTCAGGAATTTGGTCTTGTATATTCTTTCTATAGCAATAAAGGAAGAGGACATGCTAGGCACTCCGTACTTGTTAATCAAGGGGCTTAATCTGCTTAGTACACGGAACAAAGATGTCAGCAATCAGAATTTTAAAGAGTCTACACAATCAATAGAGAACACAATCAAAGAGAGTAAGTTATGTTGGGGGCAGGGGTGTTCTGAAAACCCCCCAAAATTTTGGTTGTTTCACTCTTCTGTCAATAGGCTAACAGAAAGCCAACATTCACTGGATTATCTATAATTTGTTAGACAGTCCTTAACTTCTGTCTTTATTCTGAAATAATTTTAAACTTACATAAAGCTGCAAGAATGAAAATAATTTTTTCCTTGAATCACTTTATAGTAAATTGCTGACTAGTTTATTACTCTAGTATACTTCCTACAAGCAAAGACAATATTCTTAAAATAATTACAATACAACTATCAAGATCAGGAAATTAACACTCATACATTACTATCTCTACCTGATCTAAAAAATCCATTCAAATCTTCTCAATTGTCTCAATAATTGTTTGGACTTATCAGAAAATCCCCTTACATGACATGTTCTCCATTGACTGTGCAGGCTCTTTAAAATTCTGACTGCCAACACCGTCACTGTTCTTACAGATAATGCAATTATGCCTATTAATGAAGAATTGCATTTAGTTGGCATATCTCTTTATTCTTCCTCAATCTGGAACAATCTTAAAGCTGTTCTTTAACATTCATGATCTTGACATTTCTGAAGGTATAATGCCAATAATGAGGGAGAACAGCCCCTCAGTTTGGGTTTATCTTCTGTTTCCTCATATGAATTTAATCAATAAATTACATTCAAGTTATGCACCTTTGGCAGGAATATCACAAAAGTAATGCTGTGTTCTTATTGCAGCCTATCAAGTAACATAATTTCAGTTTGCCCCATTATCAATAATGTTAATTTAGACCCCTTGACTAAGGTGGCGTCTGCCAGATTTCTCTACTACAAAGATACTCTTTCTCTCTTTGTAACAAATTAAATATTTTGAGGATAAGTATTTTAAAATTAGTATTAGCATCCTCTTTTTTTTTTAATTTTCTTTTTTTGATTCAGATGGGAGTCTCACTATGTCACCCAGGATGGCTGGAGTACAGTGGGCAGCACAATCATAGCTCATTGCAGGCTCCACATCCTGGGCTCAAGCGATCCTCCTGCTTCAGCCTCCTGAACAGGTGGGACTATTGGGCTTTTTTTTTTTTTGGAGGGATGGGGTCTCATTATGTTGCCCAGGTTGATCTCAAACTCTTGGCCTCAAGCAGTCCTCCCACCTCAGCCTCCCAAAGTGTTGGGATTACAGGTGTGAGCCACTGTGCCCAGACTAATGTTAGCATCCTTTGATGTTCCTTAGCTGAATTAAATATTACTATGATGATTCTCAAATGGTAATTTTTCTAATTCTATCATTCAGCAAATTATTGCATCAAAAAGCTTTCTTTTCTACCCATTTATTAATTCACTTATTTATATCAGTTTGCACTCATGGATTTTCATTTTATTCAGGTGACTATCATCTATTACTATCATTATTTACTTTGAAGTTCAAACTGCCCAGGCAGGAGTCCTTGCAAGCTGACTCTGTGTCCTTTGAAATATGTTCCCATCATTCTTTCAGCACTTCTTTACTTTCTGGCACAATAATATGTTCCAAGCTCATCTTATACTTTCTCTCCTCCCGCCCTAGAATTGGCCACTGCTCTGAGCTCTGGGTCCTTTCAGTGCATAACTGTATTTAGAAAATAAGACCTAGCTTCTAAGTGTGCTAATTACTAAGGAGTGGCAATGTTTCCAGGTCCTCTCAGTGGACATAGCTAGAGAATATGTACACACAAACACGCATGCACACATCCACATTTACATCTATATCTATTTCTAGGTCTATCAATACATTTTAAAAACCATGAGTTCACACCAGTACCTCCAATTCCATTCTACCACCACAAACTTTTCTTCCTTTTCACATAGGTAACTCCCTTTTCCGGCAGTGAGAATCCTGTGTCCCTTTATCATCAACATATGTACTCACAGGCATACCTTACTTTATTGCACTTTGCTTTACTGCACTTCACATATATTGTGTTTTCTTATAAATAGAAGGTTTTAGCAACCCCGAGACAAGCAACTCTATCAGTGCCATTTTTCTTTTTTCTGAAAAATCTTTATTGCTTCTGCTGATTACACAACAAATGTAAAAATTCAAATATTACACTTTTTTAAAAAAAAGTACATTATAACATGTCATTAAATAAATGCCCATTTCAAAAAAATTCAAGTATCATAAAATACATGATTTAGAAAATGAGTCCTCTGTAATCCAGTCCCACCCCCATGTCCCCCAGGATTACTGCTGTTCAGATCAGCGTTTCCTTCCAGATTGTCTCTGCGCACTCACCACCTGCACTGCTGACATGAGCTCCATATTATCTGAGATGATAGTAACTCTGATAAATGGAGCAGGAGCAGGGTTCAGCTGCCAGTGCACTGAACAGCTTCCAGTTTCTACACAGAAACACTTTCTTCATAAAAGCTTGAAACTACAACATCCTTTTGCACTATGTAAATGTATCAAGTTGAATCATGAAATTAACGATCGCTCACCATTTTTGGCCTAGAAAAACGGCAGTTTCATGTGGTTCGACATAATAGCTATGGCCCTATTCATAGACATTGGGAGGTTTCCTACTTTTTGCCATTATAAACAATTCAGCAGGCCAGGTGCGGTGGCTCACGCTTGTAATCCCAGCACTTTGGGTGGCCAAAGCAGGCAGATCACTTGAGGTCAGGAGTTCAAGACCAGCCTGGCCAACATGGCAAAACCTCATCTCTGCTAAAAATACAAAAATTAGTCAGCCATGGTGGCGGACACCTGTAATCCCAGCTACTTGGTAGGCTGAGGCAGGAGAATCACTTGAACCCAGGAGGCAGAGGTCGCAGTGAGCCGAGATCGCGCCACTGCACTCCAGCCAGGAGACACAGTGAGACCCTGTCTCAAAAAAAAAAAAGAAAAAAATTCAGCAGTGAATGTCCTTTTATGTTCTTTATGGAGTACAAACATCTTACCCCCAAAGCATGACACCTCTCTTTTGGGCATTTAGAACAGTCAAGAAGGATGGAGCTGCCCATTTGCCATGGAAATGGAGAGCCAGCAGACAGCTGATGCATAAACAACTTGTCCCTCAAACAAGAGTGGCTAACTTCAGCCATGACACCGTTTTAGTATGGTGACCACACCACATGAGCAAACCAAATACTGGTAAAACCAGAGAACAGAAGAATTCCTCAGCTCAGGACAATTCTTATCCCTACTGACGACTCACAAGACATCCAGTGAGTACCCCAAAGTTGTCCTCTGGAAGTTGGGCTGTCAGAAGGTACAAAAAATGATTCAGGCCAGGCACGGAGGCCCACGCCTGTAATCCCAGCACTTTGGTAGGCCGAGGCAGGTGGATCACCTGAGGTCAGGAGTTCGAGACCAGGCCGACCAACATGGCGAAACCCTGTCTCTACTAAAAATACAAAAATTAGCCAGGCATGGTGGCACATACCTGTAATCCTAGCTACTTGGGAGGTTGAGGCAGGAGAATCACTTGAACCCGGGAGGCGGAGGTTGCAGTGAGCCAGGATCACACTACTACACTCCAGCCTGGGCAACGAAAGTGAAACTCCACCTACAAAAAACAAACAAACAAACAATGATTCAGAAATGTACTGAAATCAGATTTGCCGGAAATATTTTTTAAGGTTTTTTCCAGGAGCTACTGGAGTGACCAAAAAAAAAAAAAGGCACCTGTTAAAATTATGCCCACGACAGGCCTCGAACAAAGACGAGAATATGGTGTGTATATGTCACTGGCGCTTTCACACAGGCCACTTCCTCTTCAACCTTGTCTGGGGTTTGTAGATTCTGTTCAGGTCATAGCTGGTTTTGTGGGTGGTTTTCTTATGGCAGACAACACTAATTTTAGGTTCTCTGAGGTAGAAAGCAGGCCATAAAAATATTCCCAGTCCACTTCTCTTCCATCTTGTTCTTTAACTGCTTCCACCAGTGTAGGAATGATGGTGCGTTTTTGTTTCCACTATGTGATCCAGGTTCCAGGTCCAGAAGAGGAGCCTGCTCTCCCTGTTACTGTAGGGGTTGATGGAGTATCTTGACAAGCAGCCGTCCATGTCGAAGGGACCCTGGCAGGAGAACTAGCCTTCCGGTGTGCAGAGACGGCTGCCACCCTTGGCTCCTCTGTTGTATAGCTGCCGTCGTACTGCACAGACTGGAGCTTCTGGCACATGGAGCGGAGGACCCGCAGGAATTCCTCCTGAGCCTCTGCACCCACCATGGAGGAGCAGGAGCTCACCTCTCTCAGGTAACTCCGGATCCGGCTTTCACAGCTGTATCTCAGATAGCCAGACTTATTCCAAAATCGGGACTCCAAGCCTTCAAACCACAGCGGGTCCTCAGCCCGGGTGTCGGCTGCGACGTTCTGGCTGACGTTGTACAGGAGGTCGGCCAGCAGTCTCTGCCTCTGTGGGGGCCTGCTCATCACACAGTAGCTGCCGGGCGGCCTGGATGAGCCACGCGTGCGGCTGGCGAAAAGCACTGAGGAAGCACCCGATGTCACTCACATAGCCCTGCCAGGCCTGGCGTGAGGTGAGCAGCACCAGCTCGGCATCGTCGAGGACGCTTCGGTCAGCTCCATGCCATCCTCGTACGAGGGAGCTAGAAGCAGAGGTAGCCCTTGCGCAGCATCTCCCGGCAGCTCCTGCCCGCCATGCCAAACTTCCTCGGGCTGCACAGGGCCCGCAGCTTCACAGTCTTGTGCTTCTGGAGCACTGCAGATGTACTCAACGCCTCTGGGCCCCGCAGGCAGTGGCACCCGCTGGCCAGCTGCTCAAGCTGGTCCAGGCCCCAGTCACAGGGCTCTACACCAGGTGTGCTCTGCAAAACTGGCATGGGCCGGGAACCGATCCCAGAAACTCAGTGCCATTTTGCTAACAGCATGTGTTCACTTCACGTCTCTGTGCCATATTTTGGTAATTCTCCCAATATTTCAAACTTTTTCAGATGGAGTCTCGCTCTGTCACCCAGGCAGTGGTGCGATCTTGGCTCACTGCAACCTCCTTCTCCCAGGTTCAAGGGATTCTCCTGCCTCAGCCTCCCCAGTAGCTGGGACTACAGACGTGCACCAAGCCCGGCTAATTTTTGTATTTTAGTAGAGATGGGGTTTCACCATGTTGGCCAGGCTGATCTTGAACTCCTCACCTCAGCTGATTTGCCCACCTCAGCCTCCCAAAGTGCTGGGATTACAGGTGTGAGCCACCATGCCTGGCCTCAAACTTTGTCACTATTGTTATATTAATATTTGTTATGGTAATCTGCACTCAGTGATTTTTGATGTTACTACTACAAATTTTAGGGGCAACACAAATCACACCCATATAAGATAGTGAATTTAATAAGTAAATGTTGTGTGTTGTGACTGTTCCACCAACTGGCCATTCCCCACCTCTCTCCCTCTCCTTGGACTGTCCTATTCCCTGAGACACAACAATACTGAAATTAGGCCAATTTAATAACACTACAATGACCTCTAACTGTTCAAATAAAAGAAAGAGCTGCATGTTTCTCACTTCATATCAAAAGCTACTTGGTAGGCTGAGGCAGGAGAATTGCTTGAACCTGGGAGGCGGAGGTTGCAGTGAGTCGAGATGGCACCACCGCACTCCAGCCTGAGTGACACAGCAAGACCTTGTCTCAAAAAGAAAAAAAAAAGATAGTGATTCCTCTGATGGATCTAGGCAAAGAAAATGGAAAATCTTCTGGGAAAGAATTTACTATCCTATATGCCATTAAGAAGATTTGTGATTAACAGGAGGAGGTCAAAGTATCAACATGAACAAGAGTTTGGAAGAAGTTGATTTCAACTCTCGTGGATGACTTTGAGGGGTTCAGGAATTCGGTGCAGGAAGGAACTCGATGTAGTGGATATAGCAAAAGAACTAGAATTAGAAGTGGAGCCTGACCATGTGACTGAAGTGCCTCCATCACATGATAAAGCTTGATAGATGAGAAGGTGCTCCTTTTGGATGAGCAAACAAAGTGGTTTCTTGAGATGGAATCTGCTCCTGGTGAAGATGCTATGAACATTGTTGAAATGACAACAAAGAATTTCGAATATTACATAATCTTAGTTGATAAAGCAGCGGCATGGTTTGAAAGGCCTGACTCCAATTTTGAAAGTTATACTGTGGGTAAAATGCTATGCTATCAAACAGCATCTCATGCTACAGAGATATCTTTCGTGAAAATAAAAGTCAATCGATGTGGCAAACCTCAGTGTTGTCTCATATACATATATATATATGTATATATGTACATATACTTATATATGTATATACGTATGTATATATATGTGTATGTATATGTGTGTGTGTGTGCATATATATATATATATATTTTTTTTTTTTTTTTTTTTGAGATGGAGTCTTGCTCTGTTGCCCAGGATGGAGTGCAGTGGTGCAATCTCAGCTCACTGCAACCTCCGCCTCCCGGGTTCAAGCGATTCTCCTGCCTCAGCCTCCCGAGTAGCTGGGATTACAGGCACCCACTACTACTCCCAGCTAATTTTTGTATTTTTAGTAGAGACAGGGTCTCACCATCTTGGCCAGGGTGGTCTTGAACTCCTGACCTCGTGATCCACCTGCCTTGGCCTCCCAAAGTGGTAGGATTACAGGCGTGGGACACCGCGCCCCGCCTGCTATCTTATATTAAGAAATTGCCACAGCCACTCCAGCCTGCAACAACCATCACCCTGATCAGTCAGCAGTTATCAACATGGAAGCAAGACCTTCCATTAGCAAAAAGATCATACATAGTCACTAAGGCTCAAATGATCATTAGCATTTTTTAGCAATGAAGTTTTTGTTTTTTTCTTTTTCTTTTTTGAGACGGAGTCTCACTCTGTCGCCAGGCTGGAGTGCAGTGGCACGATCTCAGCTCACTGCAACCTCCACCTCCCAGGTTCAAGTGATTCTTCTGCCTCAACCTCCCGAATAGCTGGGACTACAGGCGCCCGCCACCATGCCCAGCTCATTTTTTTTATTTTTAGTAGAGGTGGGGTTTCACCATGTTGGCCAGGATGGTCTCGATCTCTTGACCTCGTGATCCACCCGCCTCAACCTCCCAAAGTGCTGGGATTACAGGCATGAGCCACCGTGCCCGGCCTGTTTTTTCTTTTTAAGGCAGCATATCAACCTGGCACCTAGGCCAGAGTGCAGTGGCACAATCACAGTTTATTGCAGCCTCGAAATCCTGGGCTCAAGCAATCCTCCCATCTCAGCCTCTTGAGTAGCTGGGATTATAGGTGTGGACCACTACATCCAGCTATTTTTTTTTCTTTTTTTTTGGAAACATGGAGTCTCACTATGTTGCCCAAGCCGGTCGAACTTCTGGCCTCAAGCAATCTTCCTACCTTGGCCTCTCAAAGTGCTAGGGCTACAGGTGGGAGCCACCACACATGGCCCAGCAATAAAGTATTTTTAAATTAAAGCATATACATCGTTCTTTTACACTGCTATTACACACTTATACCACAGCACAGTGTAAACATAACTTTTATATGCACTAGGAAGCCAAAAAATTTGTGTAACTCGTTTTGGTGGTCTAGAACCAAAGAATACTTTTGGAACTGCATTGTTCTACAACCAATTCTGAAATATCTCTGAGGTATGCCTGTATTTGGCCAATCTCCCTATATATAACCCATCTCCTGTCACCACAACCACATCCCAGCATTAATACCTGCCTCACCTCATTCAGGTTCTGACATCTTGCTCTGAGTTACCACTTGCCTCACTGCCTCATACCATCCTTCTTCCAGATGTCCTCCTCCCTCTGCTCAGGTACCAATATCCTATACTAGGCTGTTGCCACTGTTGCTCCCCAAACAGATGTGCTCACCCTCCTCCCCTGCAACCCACTGAGGATCTAACACCCCTCTCTTGGTATACGAATGCCCTCCTCACTCTTTTGTGCTCCAACACTTCAGGCTACGCAGTCACCACTGCTCCCTCTGCCACGCCACTTCCCAAAATGCATGCCCTTCTCATTCTGCCTGGGATCCAACACCCTGCACCAGACCAAGCCTTTAAAATACCACAACTGGCTCAGTTCCATCAGCCCATGCAAGATCTGTATCAGTGAAAAAGTGCAGGCATCTGGACATCCTGAGTTCTAAATAAATAAAAATTGTGAAGAATCAGATAAAATGAAGGGAACAGAAATTGGGTGATGACAAAGATATGCTTTGTCTATTTTGAATTTTTACCTTATACGAGATACAGGTTTTTAAAAAGGAGCAGAATTGTTTTCTCCCTTCCTATTCATGACTCCAAATTTACCCTAGTATTATTAGGTCACTACATTCTTATCACTTAAATACTAATTTCTATGAGGAAATCCATTTCAAGTTGTAAACTAGTGACAATATTTTTTAAAAACTATACCCAATTATGTAACTTTCATTAAACCTTTTACCTAAGAGAATTCAAAGTACTTCAAAATCTGTTTATAAGTGGCAGATTATTTCCACTAAGTAGGGTAAGATAGCCACAAAGAAAGTAATTTTGGACAATATTAAAAATGAATTCTGAAAAGGACATACTTACAGAAACATGATACTTCATGTAATAATGAATAATCCAGACAGGTACAAGTACATGAGTGAAAACAAAGATACTCTTTTTGTATACCCCATGGACCTGGGGGGAAAAACACATACACAAAATAAACATATCCCATTTTTTATATTTATGGCAGAACAAAAGGCATCAATGATGTAACAATGCCATGACTATTTTACAAAACTCTAAATGGCACATATTTTCTTATAGTCTGTAGGTAACCTCATCTACTCAAATATTCTTAGTAAATGCAGAGTCTGCTAGAAGATACCTACAAAGTCCAGACCAAAATGCTTAAGCAGTATTTTGCAAGACTATAACAAGGCATTTATAGATTTTTTAAAGACTTCCAAAAATATCCTTATTATAAGTTTGTTAAAGATAAAATATAGCAAAATAATGAAAGAATAATTTTAATGTATTTAACCAGAGTAATCAAACCTACAGAATTTTTCAGGTATAGTCATCTCCCTTATTTATTGATCAATGACACTCACATCATTTTAGGTATAAGGCAGACAACCTTGACAACGCCAATGCTGGAAAAAGGACGTTTTACATACTAAGATGGGGTGTCCCAAACTCACTCCAAAATGCCCTCTGCAACACTATTTTAAAAAAGAACTAAAAATGGAACTTTCCCATGTCTTCCAACTTGATTAAAAAACACCTATCCATTCAAGGAAGGGACAATCCAGAATCTAAGAATTATAACAGATATGATTATAAAAGAATAAATTAAAGTAAGGTAAGGTGAACTTCGACACATTATTATTTATTTACTTCCTTATATCACTTGCTGATGGATGGGATGTCAACTTTAAATCAGTGACTGCCAATATTCCGATAATGTCAGGGATACAAAGGGTGGGAGAAGAGTTGAATTTTACCACCATAAATAAGTATCCAATATCACTTTCTCAGAAAAATTTTCAACAATTCTATTGCACTAGACTTTGTAGCACAGTAAGAATCAGATACATGTTGATTACAATATGAACTCATATTCAATTCCTAGCTCCCTGACCACCAGCAAATCACTGAAGCTTTGTAGGCCTCAGTTTCTTCACATTTAAAATGAGGATTAGGAATATCTACCTTACAGGAATAAAGAAATGAAGTAACACATGTAAAACCCCCAGTAGAGTGCCAAGCACACAGCAAGCACCCGTGTGTTACGTAGTATTGTTACTACTATTATCCTGTCATCAGTAAGTGTTGCAGGTAACTGAAAGCAATTCTGAGATGTTTATCATCCATAACAGTCCTCAAGAAAATACCCAGAGGCCTTGAAAATAAAGTTCTTGAATGAGTGATTTTCTTCAAAGCCCAAAATGCGATTTTTTTAATGAAACACTGTGTTAAAAGTACAGAACGGTAGTTTAGAAAGGTAGCTCTTGAATGTGACTCACAAGGCATACCAACAGGACCCTGTCTTTTACGGGGATCACATGGGGCTGTACTATCAGCTAGGGGCTGGCTGTGCCCTCTGGTGGTTGGATACTGTGTTACTTGGTCTCTAGAACCTCACACTTAAAAGTCAGACAAGTGTCCTCAAATACTTAAATCACAGAATTTTAATTCTAGCGAGTCCTTGGTTATTATTCTGAGGGAAGATTTCTACAGTCAAAAGAGAACCAAACGTGCAGCGTCCTGGAAAACCTAAGTATTAAAATTCGCCCCCGTCCACTGTACTTGACAGTAAAAGGCATGATTCTCTCAAAGCCATACATATTCCTGGACTCCTGCCTCCCGAGACTCCAGGAGGACTCTCGGGACTGGCCAGTGTCCCAGAGCACTGAGCGTTATCAGTCCTTGGTGTGGCTGCAGGGAGCGGACGTTCAGTGTTCAGGCTGCCGGCAGCAGTGGGATGTGTTGGGGGGGACCGGAGAGGTCTGTCACTCACCATTTTCCTCCAAGGGGATTTATTCTCCAAAAATTTATTCCAGAATTTCTCCATAGGCCCCATCTTCTGTGGGGGCAGCACCGGCTCCCGAGGGCTCAGCTCCTGGTCCTTCAGCCATCGCCTTCTCAGCTCTCGCAGCTGCTGCAGCCGCAGTTTCTCATCCGGAGTGTACCCCGTCATGTCGCCGCTGGTACCAACGCAAAAGGACACGGCGCACCCTCGAACTACGGACTAGTTACTTAAGCGCGCTCCCGCTCTGCAAAGCGACCTTGCGGGAACGCCGAGCGCCGCGCGCGGTTATTACGTCACATCCTGGTTCCGCCTCTGCAAGGGCCCCAGATTCCTCGCGAGGAAAGCAGTGTGTGGGCATGCACAAAGGTCTCCACCTCCAGTTCTCTCTACGCCCACCTCCGCTATACCCGACCAAATTAGGACCGGGTGGGGACAAGGAGTACTCGTAGTTGTGGGGCCTGAGGAAAGTGACAGATTAGACGAAAGTATGCTAAATTAGAGGACTGGAGGTTTTGCTAAGGAAGAACTTGTATGCTGGGAGGAGGAAGGATAAGCATAAATGTTTCAGTGAATATGCTGGCCAGATTCAAAATTATTTGCTTGCCTCTCCCACCTTGGAATGACCTAGAGAGTGTATGAAAATAGTTACATCCCAGTTCAAATCCCAGCTATGCCAGTAACTGCTGAAGTGCCCTGGGCAGCTGTCTCATCTGTCCCTCCATCTGTACAGGAATAGTGAAAAGAGTAGCTTAATATCTAGCAAAATTGCATAGATGAATTCATGCTTTCACCCAAAAATACGTGTGGTGAAAATATGAAAGAGCATGCACGACTATTCAGCACGATTCATAATACCAAAATATTGGAAATTACCCCCAAATTCCTAAATAAAGGACTGCTTGAATAAATTGTAGTACAACAGTCAAAAGACAGCATTACAACGAATTAGTTTAAAAATCTTAATTGACTCTTATTCGTGATTCTAGAATCAAAAAACACCTCATTCTATAAAGTAGAATGAGTGTTCTGATCAGCTGAGCAGAGGCGGTTGGTTTTATTGGCAAATAGGGGCTGAAGAAAGCAGAAACCGAACAAAAAGTGGACTCATCGTTTCAAAGTTACTTTTAGGGTTAAAGCAGAAGAAACTTCCTTGTTTCACTGACTCAGACTTAAGGGAATTTCCTATTTTTTGGGAAACTGGCCCATTTCAAAGTTCAGTTTGATTGTGTGGTACTTAGCACAAACGACTCCATTCTGGTTTGGTCTGGTCTGCTGGGGCCTAGTGCGTGAAGCTAGTCCAAAACAGTGGCTTCCCAAAAACTTTCACACAACAAAGCAATGAAATGCTAATACAATCGTCAAAAGTAATAAGGAAGAACTCTATATACATCTGTGGTGTGATCTCCAGAATACATTACAAAGTGGAAAAAAAATGGATAGGAATTTGTACAGTATGCTTTTACCCAAAAAGAGAAAGATGGTGGTAATTTCAATATATATACATATTTTCTTAAATTTTCAAAATAATGGGAATGAAAACAATTGAGGTTTTTAAAGATGCTACCTATGGTGGAGGAAATAAATAGGATAGAGGAGACAGGGATAGAATCTAGACATCTCTGGAAACATCTTACTTCATAAATTTGACTTTAGAACCAAGTAAATATTTCATATTGTGAAATTAAATTTAGCTTAAAGATGTCTCCGTATTTTGAGTCCTTATATAATGAACTGCAACCCAACTTAGTATGCAATTTAACTCACAGCCTAACTTAGGAATATACTTCTGTAACAAATAACTGAGTCTCAGCCAATCATCACAGGTGGTCAACTGATCAGCCCATGTTCAAATAAGGCAAAGGCCAACCTGTAGCCAATCAAGCTGTTTCTGTATCTCATTTCTGTTTTTTTTCTATGCGTGCTGCCTGGCCTCTTTGTGGAACGATACTTTCTGAACCTCCTCTGGTTCTGAGGGCTGCCTGATTCTCAAATTGGTCATTGCTCAATTAATTTCTGCTAAATTTAATTTTTCTAAAGTTTTAATTTTAACAATATCATTACAAAACAAAATTAAATTTACAAAAAGCAGTCCATAAAAATCAAGTAAAAACCAGTAGCTCTTAATTGGTCCACTTGGTGGCATAATCTCAAAGGTACACATCATTCTAAATACAATAGCCCTTGTAACAACGCTAGGGTTAGTAGTGCCAATCCCCTCCACTTGGCACAATCAAACATCCACATATAACTTTGGACTCTCCAAAAACTTAATAGCCTACTCTTGACCAGAAGTTTTACTGATAACATACAGTCAATTAACACACATTTTGTATATGTATTATATGCTATATTATTACAATAAAGTAAGCCAGAGAAAATAAACTGTTATTAAGAAAATCATAAGGAGGCAAAGAGAGGGGTTGGTCTTGCTGTCTTGGGGTGCCAGAGGCAGAAGAAAATCCACGTATGATGGACCCTCGAAGTTCAACCTGTTTTTTTCAAGGATCAACTATAACTTTAAACCATTGAATTATTGTAAATCCACTGAGAGACAACCCGCAAAAACAAACAAAAAAAAAACAACTTAAAAAAAATCTTGGCCAGGCGTGGTGGCTCACGCCTGTAATCCCAGCACTTTGGGAGGCCAAGGCGGGTGGATCACAAGGTCAGGAGATCGAGACCTTCCTAGCTAACACAGTGAAACCCCGTCTCTACTAAAAATACAAAAATTAGCCAGGTGTGGTGGCAGGCGCCTGTAGTCCTAGCTACTCGGGAGGCTGAGGCAGGAGAATGGCATGAACCTGGGAGGCGGAGCTTGCAGTGAGCCGAGATCGCGCCACTGCACTCCAGCCTGGGTGACAGAGAGAGGCTCCGTCTCAAAAAAAAAAAAAAAAAATCTTAAACTGTTTTAAATAATCATATTGAGGATAGTGGTGTTGATCATGGTATTGTTAATCTGACACTGAAAATAACTGTTTACGTGAGTGTTGTAAAAACTGATCTTTTTTGGTATGGGGAGACATGTATATAAATTGTATGTGTTTAAGTAAAAATCCTATAGTCAAATTGTGAACAGGAAGAATCAGTATGAACTCATATTGTATTTTATCTTTAAAAATGTATATAATTTTGTCTTAGCTCTACCTGTTGATAATGGCCTAAAAGAAATTGGCAAACCAATAATCATGAGCATCTTTTGTTCTTAGGTTGTGATCTCTCATGTACATTTTCCACTGAAAGGAACTAGGACTGCTTGAAGCAGCAGTTCTCAAAAGTTTTGCTTCCAAGACTTCTTCAAATTCTTAAAAATTGTTGGAGATCCCAAAGAGCTTTTGTTTATGTGGGTTAATCTATTGATGTTTACTGCATTAGAAATTAAACATTTTAAAGTAACAATGTACTCATTAAAAAATTAGTGAGAAGAGTGCCATTGTTTTACATTTTTGTAAATGTCTTTAATGTCTTGCTTCATAAATGACAGCAGAATTGTTATAACTGCTTCTGCATTCAATCATAATGTAACACATCGTATAGCCTCTGAAAATCCCCATGTATATTTGTGAGAGAATGAGACTTTATAAGGGTAAAATAAAAAGGGCAAACAGTCAGTCATCTGTATCTGTGGGTTCCACAATTACATATTCAGCCAACCACAGATAGAAACTATTCAGGAAAAAAAACAATAAAAAGTAATATGAATTTTAAACAATACAGCCTAACAACTATTGACAGAGTATTGACATTGTATTAGGTATTATAAGTAATTGTAACTGAAACACAGGTTTAGTCACTCAACACTTGCAGAGTCCAGTTAACAAGAGCGAGGTCTGGTATAAAGAAAGTGACTTTGTATTCCAAAGCTAGCTTAGGGGAAGAAGTATGGGCTTCCAGCCTCAAAGGTACTGCTCCACTTTTGGAGCAGAAAGTGGGTACTTTCGAAAGGCAGGGGAGACAGCAAGTGGGTAGGAAGTCCACATGCTAGCTTGGCACCTTATCTACTAGGCAGTCAAGTTGGCATCTTCATGGGCAGAAATAAGTTATTAAAATGGCCAAAAACTTTCCCGGTGGGAAAGAGTTTCTCATCATGTATACTTTGGGTTGTAAATCGACTGTTACCTCTTGAGGCAATCTCCTGGTGGGTGAGAGTTTGTTCTGGAGCTTCTGAGTACAAAGTTAGATGAACTTGCCCTGTAGGGAGTGTCTGGTGAAGGGGAGGTAAAGGTTATAATTGCATTTCAAACGGGCTAGTAGGAAGTGGAGAATAGCAAGAAACAGAAGAGAAAAGAAGAAAACTAATAAAAAAAATAACTCATTCTCTTTTTCTTAGAAAAATGGGGATACTCAGTTACATAACCTAGAGATGATTTAAAGTATATGTGAGGATGTGCATAGGTTATATGCAAATACTACCCCATTTTATATGAGGGTGCTAAACCAAACTAAAATCTGGCCCGAGAAAGTCTCCATACTTGCATACTGGAGTTCTTACTTAGGAATTGCAACCTAACTTAATAGATAAGCAAACTGAAAAATCTAATGGAGACATACTTCTGTAACAATAGCTGCATCTCAGTCAATCACTGCAGCCATACTTCAGCCACTCACAGGTGGCCAACTGTCCAAACCAGGTCTAAATAAGGCAAACGCCAAGCTGTAACCAATCTGGCTGTTTCTGTACCTCACTTCTGTTGTGTTTTTTTTTTTTTTTGTATTTCAGTTTCCTTTTTCTATTCTTAAAATCTCTCCAACTGTGCAGAAATAACTCTCTGAATTTGCTGTGATTCTGAGGGCCCAATTTGCGAATTGCTTTTTCCTTGATCAATTAAACTTTGTTAAATTTAATTTGTCTACAGTTTTTCTTTTATCAAGGGAGATGAGCATCTGTGGATTTGGGTATCTGAGAGGGGTCCTGGGACCCTCAGTATCCTTGGGGACATGGATACTGAGTGATAACTCTTACTATGAAAATAATCTTGACATCACGGACCCCATAAAAGGATCACAGGGACTCTTAAGAGGACCTGGGCCAAACTTTGAGAACCTCTGCCTTGGAAAAATGGCTAACCCCAGGCCTGGGTCGGATTAGGAAACGTAAAGAAAGCCTGGAACATCTTATCATGTCGGAAAGCAGGGAAGTTTTAAAGGCCAGTAGGGTTATGTCAAAAGGATTTGGGAGCCAACTTAAATAGGTTCCCACTGGTTAAAGATGGGAAAATTTGAGCATCGACAAGTATAATAACTTCAGTGGATTGAAAAATATCAAATATATTCACATACATGAATTCATAATGATTTTTTAAAACCTCACTTGTCACCTTTGGATGATGTTAGGGAACTGTGATGTTGTAAAACAGATATTTGGTCTTCTTCCCATTTCCTGGCACATAGCTTCTAAAATCCTTGGAATCTCCAAAGTGATGTGTCTTTTTGTATGCTAATGATTCATGACTGGCTTTCCCTGGATAGCCTCAGGATAAGAATTGGTCACTGGAAACAATAAGGCATAATTACAGGGTTGGGGCTTCCAGCCCCAACACCTCAACTTTTGGTGAGGAGAGAGGGCCTGAAGGTTGAGTTCATTACCAATGGCCAATAATTTAATCAGTCATGCCTGTGTAATGAAGCTTCCATAAAAATCCAAAAAGACTGGATAGCTGAACATATGGAGGTTCCTGGAGGGTGGCAGAGACGGCATGGAAACTCCACACCCCTTCCCACATACCTTGCTGTGTGCACCTGTTCCATCTGACTGTTCTTCTGTAGCCTTTGTAATATCTTTTACAATAATAAGCCAGAAAACGTGTTTTCCTGAGTTCTGTGAATTGTCCGAACAAATTAATAAAGCCAGAGCAGGGCGGTCATAGAAACCCAATTTATAGCCGATTGGACAGAAATATGGGTGAGAACTTGTTACTTCAGATCTGAAGTGGGAAGAACTCTTGTGGGGCTGAGCCCTCAACCTGTGGGTTCTGATGCTATTGTCAAAGGTGTGTGAATCAGAGCAACTCCATCTCAAATAGCTGGGTAAAATGAGGCTGAAACCCACTGGGCTGCATTCCCAGATGGTTAAGGCATTCTAAGTCACAGGATGAAATGGAAGATCAGCACAAAATACAGGTCATAAAGACCTTGGTGATAAAACAGGTTGCAGTAAAGGAGTGGGCCAAAATCCACCAAAACCAAAATAGCGACAAGACTGACCTCTGGTCATCCTTACTGGACACTCCCACCAGCACCATGACGGTTGACAAATGCCATAGCAACGTCAGGAAGTTACCCTATATGGTCTACAAAGGGGAGGCATGAATAATCCACCCCTTGTTTAGCATATCATCAAGAAATAGCCATTAAAAATGGGCAACCAGCAGCCCTCAGGGTTGCTCTGACTATGGAATAGCCATTCTTTTATTCCTTTACTTTCTTAATAAACTTCCTTTCACTTTGCACTGCGAACTTGCCCTGAATTCTTTCTTGCACGAGATCCAAGAACCCTCTCTCGGGTCTGGATTGGGACCTCTTTCCTGTAACATATTTCTCTGTCCTGCAACACTGTCTCCAGGTAGTTAGTGTCAGAACTGAATTGAATTAGAGGACACCCAGCTAGTGTCTCCTGCAGAATTGATTGCTTGCTTGAGGTCGGCTGGTCAGGGGACGGGGAGGGGAGGAGAACACCCCTGCTTCTGGTGTCAGAAGTGGGTTGTGAGACTATAGTGTGAGAAACTGAATTTGTTTTTCCTCTCTATTCTTCAGAAGAACTAACTCGTTTTGAAAACTGGCAAGGAAAAAAAATCAAGCATTTTTCTAGGCTCTCTATACAAATTGCATCTTAAAGTAATAAAATGATTCATGAGGGGAAATTTCTTCAAAGAATCATTAAAAAGCTAATGAAAGAAAAGGGGATGGCACAGTTAGAATATCACCATTTTGCAACTGTTAAAGTTTATTAATAAATCAATGCAGTGGTTTATCCGTCAATAGCTGCAAACATCTCAAAAAGGGACCAACTGCGCCTCCTGGTGGAAAGCTGCCTCATTGCCTGTGAAGTTGCCTTGCCAAACATTGAACCTGAATCTGATCAAGTTTCTAGATCTAACTAGTTATTTAATAACAGAGGAGCTCCTTATACAACACCAAAATGATACATTGAGATAAATCTAGATTGTAGGAACTGCATATAAGTGATTCGGTTTCTTATAAAATATATTGAGTAAAAAGAAAGGAGAGAGAGGAGAATCCATAGATTAAAAGAGACAGAGGGAAATTTAAACATTACCTCGATATATTAGGGAATTGTCATTAATTTTTTTGTGTATGATGATTTGTGGTTATATTTTTGAAAGGAAGTTCTAATCTCTTAGAGATCTCTTCTGAAATATTTATAGATGAAAGGGTAAGAGGTCTGAAGTTTACTTCTGAATAATTGAGAAAGGAGGAAGAAGGCATAGAGAAATAAGACTAGTAATAAGTTGGCAACTGTTGAAGCTATCTGATAGCTAAATGGGGGCTTATTATAGTCTCTCATATACTATTTTGTAAATATTTAAAAATATTCTAAATAAAAAAATTTTTTAATTATGCCTTGAGGCTGGGCACAGTGGCTAATCTCATTGCTTTGGGAGGCTGAGACAGGAGGATTCTGTAAGCCCAGGAGTTCGAGACCAGCCTAGGCAACATACTAAGACCCGCCCCCCCACCCCCCACCAAAAAAAAATGCCTTGAAGTAGTAACTAAACTGTGTATTTAAACTATTACTAATCCTCAGTCTGTCTTATTACATTTTGGACTAAAATTTTGCAAACTACTTACATTGGAACTCTCAACTTTGTTATGGTGAGATCTGAACAATTGATACTAAAGGGAGAGTAAGCCCCTGAGTGCTTAAACATCACAGGAAATACTATATTTAGGTTCCCAATTGTTACCGAGTGCAGGCTCAGCTGCTCACCACTTGCAAAGCCAATAACAAAGATGAACTACAGCTAAAGGAAAGTTACTTTATTCCAGAGCTAGCAGTGGAAAAATGGCCAAAGCTAGTGCCTTAAAGAAACCGTTTCAGCTTTCTAGGTCAAGGGTAAAGGCTAAAGGGGAGTTTGGTATGATGGGCATGCAGGAGTGGTGATAGGGGTCAGCCTATGTGACTTGTTCTGATGACTATCTTGAGCTGTTGCCCCATCTGGTGTGTGGGCTAGTGCCATCTCTGGGACAGCCAGGTTGCAAATTAACTGCAGCCTTGAAGTAATCTCCAGGTGGGGGAGAATCCCACAGTAGACTGAATTGCTTTAAGATTTAGTCTCTGGAACTTCTAAACAAACACGTAATTAGATAAGGGAAACACTGTGCAAAGGGGTGCCTGGGAGAAAGAGTGAGAGCAAAGACTATTATCTCATTGTTAAAGGCAAGACAAGGAACGGGCAGGAAAGAGAGAGAGAAAAACTTTTAAAAACAGGACACTTAGTTACACAATGAGTCATTTGATAACCCAAATGTTTCCTTTGCGAGTGGAGTTAAATACATTTAGTATTTCTTGAATTTGGAACCATCATTCTGGCTTACTCTGGGAAATTACTACATCCTCCCCACTCCCCACCACTACCACATTTGAAAATAAACATAAATAAAATCAATATTGCTTAGAAAAATATACCACTGGCTACTGATGACCACATTTCCATCCTTTCTCACTTATCTCTGGCTGTGAAACTCATGAGGCTGAGTTGAATAAAAAGGGAGCAGTGAGAGACCGTGTTCAGCTTAGCACAAGCAGAAAATGTGGACTCACAAATTCAGATAGTCTGCAAGACCTGGGTAACTACTGGAGACATTCCCACCAGAGGGCACTCTAACTTGCTGAAAAATTAGAAATACAGGTAAATTGCATTTTATCTAAGGCCTCAGTAACCAGCCCACAAAACTCAAAGGAGCTAAAGCACAGTGGGCAGGGAAGAGATGGGGCCAGGAAATAAGATGAGGAGGTGTCTTCTGTCAGTAAGGTTATGTCTTAAACTTTGGATCTGTCTAATAAGGGTCTACACCTCCAGCTATGTTTTTAAAAGCCAGTAGGGTGCTTCATTTGTCCCCTGGCAGAGTGTACTAATTGGGGCACACAGGCCGTGGATTTCAGAGGCTGTGGAGAGAAGACAGCTTTGAGTGCAAGACCTCCCCGTCAGACTGAGTCTGCAACCAGGAATGGAGATGGGAGTTCCACATCCAAGTTCCCTTTCCATTGTTCAGTCAAAAATTTAAGAGCCTTTGTCCTATCTTCATTTTAAGCACCATTTGTCCCACATAATTGAAAAAAAAATTAATTCCTCCAGAAATCCCTTTATCTCCCTGTAAGATTCTTTTTTTAGCAAAAACAAAACAAAACAAAACAAAACAAAAAATATATATATATATAGCTTCACCCAACCACACAAGACATTATTATTTTCAAGGGGACAAGGAGGCAAACTTGCTCATGTTGATCAGAAAAATCTGTGAAGATGCACAAGCGAGGGCATTCTCTTACAAATCCCTACTGTGGAATTTTCTGGTCAGTGTTTTGGAGATACACAGAAACTAATGGCATCAGCAATTCATGGTGGAGTTTGCTACTTATAGGGCAGACGGTCACACACAGTGTACCAGAGACGGAGTTTTGAGCTGCACCTTTAGTTGAATATTAGTTTCCATCTGGGGAGCACAATGGGCTTGACTACCACTGTCTTCTTATCCTTCTGATATTAGTAGAGCAGAATCACTTGTCTGACGTCTTAAACATTTAGTAGTCTAAAACAATATTCATTTGCTCAAATTTGACTTCTAGTTGGACCCCAGCGCTCTCAGTGGCAAGTGGTGCGGTGCCAGTGAAACTCTCTTCAGAAAGAGCAACTGATTGGCCCGGCGCAGTGGCTCACGCCTGTAATCCCAGCACTTTGGGAGGCCGAGGGGGGCGGATCACGAGGTTAAGAAATCGAGACCATCCTGGCTAACACGGTGAAACCCCATCTCTACTAAAAATACAAAAAAATTAGCCGGGCGTGGTGGTGGGCGCCTGTAGTCCCAGCTACTCGGGAGGCTGAGGCAGGAGAATGGCGTGAACCCGGGAGGCGGAGCTGGCAGTGAGCCGAGATCGCGCCACTGCACTCCAGCCTGGGCGACAGCTAGACTCCGTCTCAGAAACAAAAGCAAAACAAAACAAAGGAAAGAGCAACTGATTAAAATCACTAACTTTGTAACACAGGAGCCCTCGAGTTCTCTGCAAAAGTTTCTGAACTTTGTGTTTTCATTTCAATGATGATTTTAAAACTCTGGCGTGAGTATATTCTAGATCACTTGGATAACCACCTTATAACCAAATACCCAAACCGTATGAGTGTTTACAATTATGTGGGAGCCAAGAGGAGGCCCTGTAATGTTCTGGCACTTTATATGAATAAAGGTTTCATAGTCGTTCAGATGTAGGGAGGTAGTGAAGACAGTCACCTCGTAGCACACTTCACATGACACTTCCTTTAGTAGGTGAGGTAATAAATAGGCCAAATGGAAAAGCATTTATTATGACTTTTAATTGTTCTAATATTTTATTACTATCGCAACTTGGAGGGTGCTATGAAGCAGATCAGCTCTTCAAAACAATGAATTGGTTCAAATGATTGTCATTATTTAAAAGGAAAAATAGAAAAATGCCCGTGACTCAAATAATGTTCCAGTGTGTTCAAAGTCAATGCAATACACAATGAAGCATAAAATCTCCAAATGCATCTTTCCACTATTCAACCCATACCATTGTTTTTGTTTTATGAAAACATTATTCCTTGAATTTTATTAGTTTTATGCTTTTGTTTGCACTTAACTTGAAAATTAATTTCAGTTTTATAGTTGAAACAAACTATACACTGAGTGTATATGTAATTTGATGATTATGAACACTTAAAGGAATAAAAATAATTTAACACTGGAGATATGCAATAATTTTTTGCTCCTCTAAAAGGGATTATTATATTATTTAACTTTGAAAAACACTGTTATAACATCATATAAGTTTATTTTTTCTATAAAGTTATTAATAATCAACAGGGAATAAACTAAAGAAAACCAGAGTAGGCATATAATCAAAAGCTCAGCTGCACTGCCTTTTAGGGACTAGAATGACAACTAACTTTGTAGGATCTAATATTTTTTTCAAAACACATTGTTAGTATTATTTTTAGTTGACAGATAATCATTATATATGTGGCAGGGCATGGTGGCTTACGCTTGTAATCCCAGCACTTTGGGAGGCCAAGGCAGGAGGATTGCTTGAGGTCAGGAATTTGAGACGAGCCTGGGCAATATAGTGACACCCTGTCTCTAGAAAATAATAATAGTAATAAGTATATATATTTATGGGGTACAATATAATGTTTTGAATACACTGTAGAATGATTAAATCAAGCTAATTAATATATCCATCACTTACTAATTTTCTGTGGTGAGACATTAGAAATTTACTCTCTTTGGCTGGGCACAGTGGCTCACACCTGTAATCCCAGCGTTTTGGGAGGTTGAGGCGGGAGGATCACTTGAGCCCAGGTGTTCAAGATCAGTCTGGGCAACATAGTCAGACCCCCGTGTCTACAAAAATTAAAAAATTAGCCCAGCGTGGTGGTGTATGCCCATGGTCCCAGCTACTTGGGAGGCTGGGATGAGAGGATCACTTGAGACTGGGAGGCTGAGGCTAAAGTGAGCCATGATCATGCCACTGCACTCCAGCCTGGGTGACAGAGCGAGACTCTGTCTAAAAAAAAAAAAAAGAAAAGAAAAGAAAAGAAAAGAAAAAAAGATTTATTCTTTTAGCAATTTTGATGTATACACTATTTTAACTGTAGGCACCCTGCTGTGTAACACATCCCACAAATTTATTCCTCTCGCCTAACTTAAATGTTGTACCCTTTGACCAACATCTCTCTGTCTACCCACTCCCCCTTACTCCCAGCCTCTGGTAACTACCATTCTACTGTTTACTTTCATGAGTTTGACTTTTTTTAGATTCCATGTATATGTGAGATCATGTGGTATTTGTCTTTATTGCCTGGTTTATTTCATGTACTATAACGTCCTCTAATTCATTCATGCTGTTGCAAATGACAGGATTTCCGTATTTTTTTAAGGCTGAATAGCATTCCATTGTGTATACATACCACATTTTCTTTAGCTATTCATTCACTGATGAACACTTAGGTTGATTCCACATCATAGGCTATTGTGAATAGTGCTGCAATGAACATGGGGGCACAGATAAAAATCTTTTCAACATATTGATTTCAATTCCTTTGGATATATATCTAGAAGTAGAATTGCTAGATCATATGGTAGTTCTATTTGTAGTTTTTTGAGGAAAGATCTAGTATTCTTAGATGTAAGAGATTATTCTTTAATTTCAACCTAGTAAATTACATTTCATAATGATGCATCTCATGGAATCTCAGAGGTCAAGTGTTTAAGCCTAAAATTTTCTAAAGTCTTCCAGAAAGGTATGTTTTCTTTTTGTTCTTCCTTTCCTTCTTTTCTCTTTTCCCACCGTGAGTAACTAATTTTGTCTTTTTTTCTCCTTAGTTTTAGTTGATTTTCTTGGTTGAAAGATGGCTTTTGGAGGGAAAAAAAGTGGGATCTGAATCATTTCAACTGATTATAATACAAATTTACATGGTAATTGATACAATTTGCCTTCATTTTTTACTTCATAGACGTGACTTAAGAGTCTTAAAAGTCTTCACTATTAGTAAAATGTACTGTTGAGCATTGTATATAAATGCGGCTGTCTTCTGTTTATGCTTCCAAAATAATTTCTTTCAAAATTGGAGTCAATCCTCTCAAACCATGCTGCTGCTTTATCAACTAAGTT